>NC_000004.12:150436532-150739562 GCF_000001405.40 Homo sapiens
TACAATTCCAGATGAAACATTTTTAAGGCAATACAAGCCAAATGAGATAGAGATATTTATAATTAGAACTTCAATAATTTAAACTGACTCTTTTAGTATTCAAAAAAATATGCTTATGAGTTCTAATTTTTGCATATCCTTCACAACACTGAATTTATTTAGCCATGGTGTATTATTCAAATTGAACTTACTATTCTTAGCAGCCATGCAAGAACAAAACTTGCAGTTGAGTAATGAGTACCATAGTGAAACTTTGGAACTTGATCATCTTCCCATGATTCATAACGCTCAGCGAAGAATGCTGCTCTTTTTGGGTTCAGAGCTCCTATTGGCTGCCAATAGGGAGGGAAAAAACAAAGAATACATCAATGTAATCATCCTTCATGTCTTCCTCTCTTCTGATGATATCCTACTGGTAAGTATAAAAGTGAATTTTAAAAATATATACTACTTAAGCTGCAACACAGTATCATATTGGGAGTAAAAAGCAATATTTTTTCCAACAAGTTAAACACAACATATAAGTAAGTGAATGGATGAACCCATCATTTCTCCATAAGTCTAGTTTTCATGGAACATAGGTGTTTAATCATCCCATAACAAGCATCAGATAAAGACAATTACATGAAGTGAAATATCAGCTGTACAACACTTTGGAAAGCACCTATAAAACCACATTTAGTTAATTAGAAGCAACAACCAGAAACAGAATCTTAAAGCTGAAGGACTGACTTATAATGGGTTCTTAGAAGAGGATGAAACAAAACTGGGAGATAGGTGAGATGGAGCACAAAGGAAGAAAGAAATTGTGGGAAAACAGGGTTAAGAAACTAGAAATTTCTACTAGTGTGAGTGAAAACAAAGGATAAAAATATGCCTATATGTCTATATAGGATATATAGATATATACATATATATGTATATACTTTAACCAGAGGATTAAAAATATGCCGGCATGAACTCTCTCTCTCTCTCTATATATATATATTATAAAATTAAAAATATCACATTAAAAATAATGCTATATATATATCGCATTAAAAAAAGAATAGTAGACAGATTATGAACTTATACTGGAAAATAATACTTTACAGCAGAGGTCCCAGAGCAATATAGCAACATGGTGAAAACCCTGAGCTCACTGGAATGATAATAATACTCATTCAAAAGGTTGTTTTGGAAGATAAAAATGAGTAGGTACGTTAAAGTCCAACAAACTATGCCTGACAACGTTCAATGAATGCTAACTATGGTTTTTAAGATAATTGTTTAGAATTTGGGTTAAAGAGTTTGAATGAAATAATTGCCTTTAGCAAATTGCTTAGCATAAGATAAAGCTTAATAAATGTTAGTTGGTACCTGTATCTTTATTATTGCTACTGCTGTTGTCATTTAGGTAATACACGAACTCCATTAAATAGCAGGCAAAATTCTGTGTGATCAAGCCTATGCATGTACATATCCTTACAAAGACGTAGAGAATATGCTTGAGAGTCTCAAAGGAGTCTAAGGCTCAAAAAATGTTAAGATCAACTGCTTTAAGTAACAATTCATTCTCAAAAAACATTCTGATCTCTAGAAAATCTCTATTCCGTATTCAAAATGTTAAGTACCCACTCACTGAAAAAGACATGATATATAAGATTACTTCTTTTCATAAGATACAGAGGCCAGGTGCAGTGGTTCACACCTATAATCCCAGTGCTCTGGGAGGTCGAGGTGGGAGATTGTTTGAGTCCAGGAGTTCAAGACCAGCCTGTGCAACATAGTGAGACCCTGTTTCTACAAAAAAATTTAAAAATCGGCTGCGCATAGTGGCATGTCCCTGTAATCCCAGCTACTCGGGAGGCTGAGGTAGGAGGATTACATGAGCCCAAGCACCTTAAAGCCTACAGTGAGCTATGATTGTGCCACTGTACTCCAGCCTTGGTGATGGAGAGAGTCCCTGTCCTGTCTCTAAATAAATTAATAAATAAAAAATTCTTTATTTAAAAAAAGATACACAACAGTCTTTTGCCTTATATCATTTATGAACACCTATTAGTTAATCACTCCTTATTTATAACAGAAAGAAAATATCTGATTATTTGTGGAGAAAATGTTAAAATAAATAAATCAAAAATATTGGTTTAAAAGGGATGCACTGAGAAATATTTTATTGAAAATGAAGCAATGTTCAGACCAGTTTTTAAACTGCTTTTCATGTTACATGTTAAGCAACATCTTAAATTTATCATTTTGGTTATCCTTATTAAATTGTTAATTATTTTTTCAAAACTATCTTTGGCATCATCACTCAATAGCTTGGTTTTAATGAATATTATTGTATGTTAAGGCATTTTTTCCTTTACAAGCAAAATTTTAAAAATCTTTAATTACCATTTTAAGTCAGTTTCACAGTAAACTAATTTAAAATGCTATCTTTTAAAGCATTAGTTTCTGTACAAAAGAATCATATCTGACTTACTAAATATGTGCCAGTTAAGAATGGAGCTGACTCCAAGGATTCTTTCTTTGTTACAGAACCAATTTGAAATGCCTTTAAATGTATTTTAGTTGTTGTCCCTAAAGAATGAGCCATGGAAAAGAAAAGAGAGAAGAAATAAAATCACTAGAAGACAAATTATATGAATTAAAAATAGAATCAATGCTCCTTTTGTATGGTCTGAAGCATAATAAGTATTCACTTTATCTGCTCCTATTTTTATTACTCTCCAAATGAGTAACCCCCAAAATCAATAGTTATAGAATCACGTTTCTTGAATATAATGCTAAAACCAATTAGGATTGATTTCACTAGCATCTGAAAAAAAATGGCATCTTGCAGAGATCCATATTGGTAGAACCCACAGTATTGATTTTGGCTGTTATTGTTACAGTTGGTTTCTGAAGCCTGCTATACGACAGCTATCAAGACATACCACGTTTATTTGCAAGCATATAAAAAAGAAGTCCCCAAATAAAAGAAAGTTAAAAAAAAAAGACCAGTGGAGCTGTGCAATGACAATGATACACTATCAGCTTACTCAGAGAAGTTACAGTGGGAATACACACATTGAATTATACATTACGCGAAAGCACTGATTTATTGTGGTAATAACATCCACCTCATTAAAAGATTCTGCTTTGCTGCAGTTGGAAGGCTACATATTGTTTACTGCTATAAATTAATGGCAGTGCAAAGAAGACTGTGGAACCATCCTAACAATAGATCTGTAATGACAGTGCTGTATATCACAGCTTCCTCAGCAGCTTCATAATAAAATGGAGACAATGTATTGAGCTAATACATTCTACCATGCTGGCCCACATTTTTCTGACAACTGCTTTAAAAGATGATCTGAATTCAACTATGTTATAATGCTGCAAAACATTTAACTAAGCAAGAGTCAGTCATATACCAAAGTGCATCAAAGCATTTTTAAAACATTGTCTAAATCAGCATTTCAGGATGTTTATTCATCTCTGCAAAAGAACTAAAAGTAAATGCTGACGGATCCTCTTACTTATATAGTATATTAAGAGTCAAAATTCTAAGTCAGTTTGGGAAGATGCTAGCACCATCATCCTACATAGAGCTTACTGTACAATGTAACAAGCTTGACAAAGTATTTTTCTTAAAAAGCAAGATTTTAAAGGAAAGTGACTCAAAATACTGGCCATTAAAAATGGTCATAATTTCTTTTAAAAAATCAGTAAAAGTAAGTATTGATTAGAAAGTATAAAAGTGGTATAATTCCAGGTAAACACAAATAGCTCTAGAATACAGAAAAATAATTTTAAACACTACAAAAAGCTAACAAATAAATAGAATTATAGAAGGTTTTCTTAACTCTACAAACTAAGAAAAAATCTCAATCACAATACAATGAAAAATAGGTTTAAGTAAAATAGAATAGAATAATTTAAAATGTAGAGTATTAGGTCTAACAACAAAATATTATGTTAAAAATATAAATAAAGGACAGGCACAGTGGCTCTGCCTGTAATCCCAGCATTTTGGCAGGCTGAAGCAGGAGAATAACTTGAGCCCAGGAGTTTGAGACCAGCCTGGACAACATGATGAGATCCTGTCTCTATAAAAATCAGAAATCAGATGGGCATGGTGGTGTATGCCTATAGTCCCAACTACTTGGGAGGATCGCTTGAGTCCAGGAGGTTGAGGATGCAGTGAGCTGTAATCGCGCCACTGTACTCAGCCTGGGTGACAGAGTGAGACCCTGTCTCAAACAAAACAAAAAGCAGAAATAAAAACTTAGATTAAAGTAGGAAAAGACAAATTAAAGAAAACCAAAACTCTTGGAAATGGTATGAATAGCCAAAAATCACTGTATTTAGGATATTTTAATAATTTCACAAATAGCAAAGCTGACATCTGTGGTAGAATAATAAGTATTCTGCTTATGAGATAATAATGATATCTTTCAAAACAGGATATGCAAAATAAAACTTGTAAAATTGGTTTTGTAAGAAGACTGCAATTAAAAAAACATTTTTTGTTACGTTCTTTGAGAAGTAATTTTGCTAGTTAACAAAATCCCTGCATATAAAGTGATCAGTTCAGTGCCTGGTACATAATAATAATGATAATAATTATTATTTTTTTCAGGTTATTTGATGAAGAATATTTAATAAAAAAAGGCACTAAGTAAGCCTGATGAAATTAATGGGATCTATTAGGAAAGACCGTGATTAAACATCACAATCCTCTAAAGACAAAGCAGGATAAGAACATATAGTACTGTGGATGATCTGTAAGAAGCCTAAGAGTAAACAGTAGTCCCCATCAATGAATTTTACTACTTTAAGAACATAATCAAAACAAAATTACTTTTCAAAAATCCAGGGGCCTCCAAATTTTACTACGAAAAGCATAAGAAATATCAAGCAACTTATAATCACCTCCTACTATATTATTTATAAAGAAACAGTTTGAATTAACAGACTCCTTTAAAAGCACATAACAGACTTTGGTCTAATATTAGTAAAAGCTGTAAAAAGGTATCTGTTTTTTCTTTCTTTATTAAAATTTTAGGAACTCTTACCTGAAGTTATCTAATTAAGAATACCACCTCCAGCTTACATTTTGTAATTTATTAAACATTATTATACATTCTCATAATAAATAGGTAATCTAGATATTCCTATTTTAATAATAAAGAAATGAATTGAGTAACCTAGCTCGAAATCAACATAAATTTAGAAGACTCAAACCTAGTACTCAAAAGTCCTTCTCTGGGCCATGTTATGTATTTATATTTAAAACTATTGTATTACAAGTTGGTTTTCCTAATTTCAAAAATGTGCTGTAATCTCAATTTTTCAAATATTTCTTTACTTAACAGGTTGATTTAAAGGCCAATATAAGTAAGCACTTAGAAGAGTTCCTGGCACACACACAAAAAAATACTTAACAAGTGTAGCTGCTATTAATGTGCTTATATACCATAACTATAATTCCTTCTTTCCTTCTGAAATTTATATATGAATGATTACAATTAATATCAACCTTTCAGAAGTGAAATTCCAAACTACTGGACTATACTTATAGTTATTGAAGGTAAGAAAGTTCTGGGAAATTGGCAAGAAATCTCAGATTTTTTACAAAGCAGAGATTTGCTTGTGTTAGCTAACTTCTCTTTTAAAACCCAAAAGTCTCAAGGGAGTTTTTCACACCTTTCTGTAAAGGCTTTCTTTGGAAAATCATTAAACTCCAACGTTTGGAGATGAGAAGCAGAAAAGATTGGGGTTAAAGAAAAGGAAAAAAAGGTAACTCTAAACCAAAACACTAATAAATAGGGTGCTTGAAAATGCTTAAGCATAGTATTTTATCAAGATACATTCTGTGGGTATACAGAGGAGTGAAGAAAAGTTGTCAAAACTGAAAAGAAGCTCAGGAAAGGGAGGCAAAAGAGCAGGACTGCTTTACAACCCTGCTTAGGATCCTGATGACTGGCTGAAAGCCATCTGCCAATGTAATCTTCATTTGATATGACTGGGAAATCAGAAACATCCTTTAATTTCGTGATGACAGATAAAGCCTGCCTTACAGTACTGAAGAAGGTGCATGCAATTAGAGGTTATATGTTATTTCATTCTTCCCTAAAAGTAGGGTAGGCCACAGGAAACAAAAGAAAACCACTGCAAAGTAAGAGGAAAAAACTAGTAAGGAATAGAATACAAGATGGCTGAACTCAATGTTCTTCTATGCTATAAAAATGTCAGGTTAAAGGACAGAATATCATCAAGCATCTGATATATGTTAACATATTAAGTAAAAAATTTCAAATTCAGAGAATAAAAGAGGATAGATACACTATTAGGAAATGTTACATCATAAAAGATGGTCATTCTTGATTAGGGAATAATGATTTGGTCTGAGAAGACTCCAGGGAAAAACTATGATATATATGTCAAAGGTGCCATTTTATCTGATGACAATGCTACTATTTGCTGAATATAAGCAAAGGTTCTACGAGTCTTACATAAATCATCTCATTATCTTTACAACAACTCTTAATACAAAGACCAATTAGCATCCCCAATTTGCAGGTGAAAAAAACAGTTCGGGAGAAAGTAAATGACTATCAGTGGTTGGTTACCAGCCAGTGGCAGCAGCAAGATTAAAAGCCACCTCCTGACTTTTTAATGATCGCCATTCTAACTGCTGTGCTGCAGAGGATGTAGAGAAATAGGAATACTTTTACACTGTTTGTGGGACTGTAAACTAGTTCAACCATTGTGGAAGGCAGGGTGGTGATTCCTCAGGGATCTACAACTAGAAATACCATTTGACCCAGCCATCCCATTACTGGGTATATACCCAAAGGAATATAAATCATGCTGCTATAAAGACACATGCACACATACATTTACTGCGGCACTACTCACAACAGCAAAGACTTGGAACCAACCCAAATGTCCAACAATAATAGACTGGATTAAAAAATGTGGCATATATACACCATGGAATACTATGCAGCCATAAAAAAGGATGAGTTCATGTCCTTTGTAGGAACATGGATGAAGCTGGAAACCATCATTCTCAGCAAACTATTGCAAGGACAAAAAACCAAACACCGCATGTTCTCACTCATAGGTGGGAACCGAACAATGAGAACACTTGGACACAGGAAGGGGAACATCACACACCGGCACCTGTTGTGGGGTGGGAGCAGGGGGGAGGGATAGCATTAGAAGATATACTTAATGTAAATGATGAGTTAATGGGTGCAGCACACCAACATGGCACATGTATACATATGTAATAAACCTGCATGTTGTGCACATGTATCCTAGAACTTAAAGTATAATTAAAAAAATATATATATATATATATATTTTTTTTTTTTTTTTTTTTTAAAGCCACCTCCAACCAAACTGACTAGCAAATCCCAGAGTGATTTGGGTTGTGTGGACTGGTACGCTGCCTCTGCAAGGCCATTAGAATCCTTTCATGGGAGCTTTAGATTAAATGCTCTTTTGAAAAAATACTATTAAAGTTTTTATCCCTACTTACATAATGTCTGTGGATATCACCTTAGAAGAAGGCATCAAAACCGAATTTTTTTAAAAAGCGTATTTTATCTTGGGGACATCAAAAACATGCTTGGCAAATACAGTTTTTTTAAAAAATGTGAACAAAAAAGGTAAATGTTGTCACCAAAGTTTATTGCCTTATCTTCCTTTTAACTTTTCTGTTTTTTTCTTTTCTATCTTTTCCATGAACCCAAATGAGAGCCCTTAATTTTCTGTGTTGCTGAGGCTTTTTATAGAAGCCAATGAATTTGATTCCCAGTGTCTCCATCACCTGCCTTCCTCCCCCACCACTCTAGTGAAGAAAATAAATAAATAAATAGTGTCTGTCATTTCAGCAACATTGCCACTGTTAGGGGGTGCAGCAACTATTTTCTTTCAACTGTAGCGCTCTTTCATCTAAATGACAAGTATAACAGGCAGCCTGATCAGCATTTTCACTCAACCTTGGCTTTTAGGGTATTTCGTTATATGCTATATAAGGCCGAAATGGTTTGGCACTTATCCTCACATGCTCTAGATTTTATTTAATACTGTCAAGAAAAAAATTTCATCAGCACACCACCGTGGCTTTTAGAGTTAACAAATAAGCACTTTTGTTGTCAAGTACCAGAACACTTTTTAATCCCTTGAAAACACATCTTCTTACAAGTGGCATTAAATATATACTCACTACACCATTTCGATTTAACAAACACATCTTGGGGAAAAGAAAGTATTCCATTTTACTTATTGTGCCTATGTAGAATCTAAATCATTTCAAATGCTTGCACTGATAGATTTACTAGTGATGTCTTCATAGTTCTATGTTATTCAGCTACACAGTAAGTATTAAGTAATTTTTCTACAGGTGTTTATCTCATTTTGAGAAAATCACATAAACTGTTAAAAATAATCTATTAATCCAATGCCACTGCTGAGCTAAATGCCTATAACGACCCCATAGACAGTCCAAAAAATCCAAGGATAATTACTAAAAATGTTTTAAGTTATTATGAAAATGATAAAGAATGCTGATATAACAAGATCTATCAATTTGCAGATATATTCATCTGCCCACTTAAAAAACCAGTTAAGGCCATTAAAATCAAATAAATCTATATGCTTTTAAGATAGGTCATTAGTGGCATACATGTCAACATTCTGCTAGCTTCTATAAACCAGAAACAAAACAAAATTGGGAACTACTTAAGAAACATTCAGCTTTTGAAATTCATTTTCTATTTGCTTTGAAAGTCATCTGAATATAATAAAACTGGTTTTAATTTCGGAAAACCTCTCTCTCTCTCTCTCTCTCTCTCTCTCTCTCTATATATATATATATATATATATATATATATATACATATATACACACACACATATATATATGTTGTTTTGCTCAACGCTGAGTTGGGAAACTGTGTGCTTATTGTTTAGCTTAAGCCTGGGCTAATGGCACTAAATATTTCAATGATTTGCATGTGAAGCACAACAAAATATATGATTATAAAAAGCAAGGAGGATTCCAAATCCATAAAGATTAGTAAAAATAGTTATTTTATTCTGTTTTAGACTAATAAATTGCTTTTTGGAAAAAATATTAAATCGTTTTAAAAATGTGTTTATTTATTTAGAGACAGGCTCTTACTCTGTTACCCTGGCTCACATGCAGTGATACAGCCATAGCTCACTGCAGCCTCGAACTCCTGGGCTCAAACGATTCTTCTGCCTCAGCCTCCTGAGCAGCTAGGACTACAGGTGCATGCTACCACACTGACATAATTTTTTAGTTTTTTGTAGACCCAGGCTGGCCTTGAACTCCTGGCCTCAAACAATACTCCCTCCTCAGCCTTCCTAAGTGCTGGGATTACAGCCATGAGCCACCACCCTTGGCTGGAAAAATACTAAATCTTAATACAAAAATTAGACATAAAGTAGCATAAGTTAAAGATATCAATATATAAGGCATGGATGGAACTAGAGGCATTATGTTAAGGGAAATAAGCCAAGCACAGAAAGATAAATATCACATGTTCTCACTCATATTTTGGAGCTAAAAAAAAAAGTGGATCTCATAAAGATTAAGAGTTAGACTGGTGGTTATCTGAGGCCAGGAAGGGTAAGGGGAAAATCGATGAAGGGAGATTGATTTTAAAAATTATGTTAAAGAACACAGAGAGAGCCAGGCATCTGAGTTGTAAGGCATTTTAAAACTATAGTGTACTTCAAATATCAAACAAGGAGATAAAATATTGTTTGGCAAATGTAAATGAGCCTATGTGGTAGCTTTCAGAAGAAACAGGGCAACTGGAATCAATTTAACAAGATAATCTCTAATGATTCCATAAGTGCAACAGAAGACACTCTAATAATTCTCATGACTTAAGAATAGCCATGGGTCATACATAAGAGCTGGTAAATGTTGATAACGCTTTTGGAGTAGATTATTAGCAATGTGAGGACTGACAGGCAGTTACATTGCAGTTGTATTCCTAGAAAAAGCCCAATCCTGGCAAGGAAGGTCAATGATATTCAACCTCTAAAACAATCCCCAAAATGAAGCCCTTATACCAAAAAGCAGACTCTGCTAAAATAGTCCAGTCCCTGTATATTCCTCCCCAGTGCTCCCTCAAGGAAAGCAAAATCCACTAGTCGAATAAAACGGGAGCAGCCAGATTGCTGACCAAAAACTTTGCTCCATTGCTGGCGAAATGAGTCAAAAAATAAAGGCGGATGAGATTCACAACTGCTATCTAAAATTTACCTTATTTCTCTGTGCAAGAGGGTATGTTGGGATAGTCATCAACATAGAGAACTTACATTTTACCCTTTTTAAAATGAAAATTTTATTGTACTTTTCCCTCTACAACTATATATCTGATCTATATGGTGGGGGAGGGGGTTAAATTTAGTCATTTAATTGTAGTACAGTGATAATCAATACTTATGAGGGACTAGAAATAAGCCAGTAAAGCTCGGATTTAGAAACCACTGCACCTGCAATAGCTGGACAGGGTTTTGGGCTGCCTCTACAATTTAAGACAAAAAGAAATAAAACATAGCATAAAACATAATAAAAATCCTTTGTTCAGTTTATAAGTTACTACCTTCCCTTTATCAACTGGAAAAAAAATAACCTCATGTAACACAAATCATATGAAATAATTTTATGTGTCAACTTGACTGGGCCACAGGGTGCAGAGATTAAGCATTATTTCTTGGTATGTCTGTGAAGATGTTTCCAGGTGAGATTAGCCTTTAAACTGGTGGACACAGTATATAGATTTCTTTCTCCAATGTGGGTGGGCATCATCCAATCTGCTGAGGATCTGAATAGAAGAAAATGCAGAGAAAGGAGGAATTTGCCCTTTTTTTCCTGTCTCACTGCTGAAGCTGAGACAGCTCATCTCATCTTTTCCTGTTGTCAGTCTGGGATTTACACCATCAGCTCCCCTGGTTCTCAGGCCTTTAGACCTGCAATGAATTACACCACCAGCTTTCCAGGGTCTCCAGCCTGCAGATGGCAGACTGTGGGACTTCTCAGCCTCCCTAATCACATCAGCCGATTTCTCATAATAAATCTCTTTTTGGATACAGATACATAGATAACTCCTATTGGTTCTGTTTCTCTGGAGAACCTCAAGATACCACATCAAGAGGAAATGAAATTAATTCATAAGGTAAATATAGAGTATTTCTTCATATTTTGAGATCAATATTGAGATTACAATCACTTATAAAATAGAATACAAAGTTTTATAAACTACCTCATTCTGGTAATAGATGGCAAAACTATGGTTCCACCATCCACACTCCTTTTCCCAAATGAGGCACCTTTTTTAAAACTTTCAAATTTGACATTACTTAAGAAGCTCATTTTAAAAAGTGATTTAACAACACGTGGAGGTCAAAGAATGCACTAGACAATTCACAGGAAGAAAAGCCTAAGAAGTCCATTAACCATGTATCCAAAATGGGTAATTTCATATTTAAAAAGCTAGCTAAGTTGACCATTTCCTACTAAAAGGAACCAGAGGTCCTTAAACAAATCGCTGATTCTAATTCTGGGGCAGGAAATATACAAAATAGCCTAGGACACCTTGTTGTGCCACAAGGCAAAGGATTTGTCAAATATTAATGGGATTGTATCTAAGGGACATAAGACCCTTCTTAAAGAGACCTCACTAGACAAAGTCGTGGCAATTTCGGTACCACAAAGAATAATGCAGTTCTACCTTCATATAAAAATGTAGAAAGTATCAGGGAATGTTGCTGTCATTGTAACAACAATAAAAAGACTAAAAGTTGATAACCATTTTTGTACTAATCAGAGAGCTGAGGTAAAAGACAACCAAATGAAGTAAATTCCAAAAAGTTACAGGCCTCTTCAACGAGAGATGGTACAAACTGCTATAATTTTGGCAAAGCATGGGAGGAAGAGGTAGTCAACATAAAAGTAGGTAAGAAGAAGGCCGGGCGTGGCGGCTCACACCTGTAATCCCAGCACTTCGGGAGGCCGAGGCAGGTGGATCACTGGAGGTTAGGAGTTAGAGATCAGCCTGGCCAACATGATGAAACCCCATCTCTAATAAAAATACAAAAATTAGCCAGGCATGGTGGCAGGCACCTGTAATACCAGCTACTTGGGAGGCTGAGGCAGGAGAATTGCTTGAACCCAGAAGGCAGAGGTTGCAGTGAGCCAAGATCATGCCCTTGCACTCCAGTCTGAGCAATAAGAGTGAAACAGTGTTTCAAAAAAAAAAAAAAAAAAAAGGGGGGGGGGGTGGGCAGGAAAGAAGAATCTGCTAAAATTTATAAAGAATTTCTAAATACCAGTATTGGGTGAATAGATCAATGTAGAAACACACGGGAGTTTGCATGCACTTGTAAGCTCTTTTCCACGGGCCTCTCCCATTGCTCATGAGAGAGAATACGACTGAGGCAAGGTAGAAGACCAGGGGGTAGCTCTCTAAGTAACACAGGCACACAGGATATGATTTACAGTTACTGGGAATGGCAACAAAACAGAAATCAAAATCCTTAAGCTGATGGGAGAGGAACACCAAACTCTCATTCCAGGTCCTAAGCAAATATCAACTTGCACATGGGGAAAGAGTACGAGCAAAACTAATCTACCGCAGGAAAAGGGATAGAAAATCCTGTGTACCACCCCTAGGACCCAGGCAAAGATCCACTGCTTCTGGGGTAGGGTAAAAGCAAAAGCCCTTTCAAGAAGACATGTCCTGCACTGATGCAAAGAAGAGGTCTGCTACTACTGGGAGAAGGATAGGAAATTCTTTCCTGTGGATGCCATGAGGGGTAGAGGCAAGAACACTGAGAAAGTCCGTACCTGAGGACCATTTCAATGGGATCTACTTAAGAATGAGGATGAATCAGGAGAACTGAGGAGCTACCCTATCCACCCCACAACAAGCCTGGCACTGAGTTACCAACAACAGCAATCTACTTCTGGAAAAAAAAAAAAAAAACCAGAAAAGTACATAAAAAAATGCCTCTGTGGCACAGGCATAGAGGGTCGGCTAGAGAGTAGAGCAAGAACAGTGAGAAAAAACATCCACCACCCAGGCCAAATTCTTACAGAAGAATTTGAAGTTTATACTGTATTTAAGGTAATAATAGCAATAACAAACCTAACTAAGCTTATCTATTGACTAGATTGACTGAACTCCCCACACTAACTACCTGACATAAGAAGAAGCATATACTTCTTTGGGCATAAAATCTTATTCATATCCCAGCCTATACTGTTCTCCTATCTCAGATAAAATAGAATCATAAAAATAATCTAAAAGAAGCACATAAAGGGAGACAAAGTACAAAGAACTGATGTGTAGAATAAAAAACAGCAAGAAGGTAGATTTAAGCCAACCATATAAAAAATTACATTAAATGTAAATGACCTCAACACCCCAATTAAAATGCACAGATTGTCAGACTGGGCATGAAAGCAAGGCTCTATTATATGTTGTCCATAAAAAAAAAGTTAAATATAAAGCCATAGACAGGCTTCTTAAAATAATAGAAAAAATGCTGCAAGTAATAATCAAAATAATGCCCTCCTGGGATATTAACATCAGAAAAAGTAGATTTCAGAACATGAAATATTACTAAGTATAAAGAGGGACATTGCATAATGAAAAATGAATTCTTTTATCAAAAAAATAACAATTTGAAGAGTGTATGCACTGTATTAGTTTCCTAGGGCTCCTATAACTAAATATCACAAACTAGGTGGCTTAAAACAATATAAACTTATTGCCTCAGAGTTCTTGAGGCTAGAAATCTGAAATCAAGTTGTTGGCAGGTTCATGCTCTCTTTGAAGCCTCTAGAGGAGGATCTTTCCTTGCCTCTTCCAGGTTCTGGTAGGCTCAGCTGTTCCTTGGCTTGCAGCAACACAACTCTAATATCTCCTTCCATCGTCATATAGTGTTCTCTCCCTGTATGTCTGTCTTTATATGACGTTTTCATACAAGAACACCAGTCATATTGGATTTGGGCCCACCCTAATGACCTTATCTTAAATTGATTACATCTTCAAAAACCCTATTTATGAATAAGGTCACATTCATAGGTACCTGGAGGTTAGGACTTTAACATATCTTTTTGGAAACAAAATTCAACCCATAACATGTACCCAAAAATAAACTTGAAAACACGTAAAATAAAAACTAACAGAACTTTGGTGAGGTGGGGTGGCTTACACCTATAATCCTAGCACTTTGGGAGGCCAAGGCAGACAAATCACTTGAGGCCAGGAGTTTGAGACCAGCCTGGCCAACACGGCAAAACCTGTCTCTACTGAAAATACAATTAGCTGGGCAGGGTGGCACATGCCTGTAATCCTAGCTACTCAAGAGGCGAGGCATGAGAATTGCTTGAACCCAGGAGGCAGAGGTTGCAATGAGCCAAGATGGCACCATTGCATTCCAGCCTGAGTGACAGGGCAAGACTCTGTCTCAAAAACAAAACAAAACAAAACAGAACAAACAAATAGAAAAACTAACAGAACTGAAAGAAAATATAGACAAATCTAACTTATAGTTGGAGACTTCAACACTCTTCTTTCAGGATTCAACAGGACAAGTAGAAATCAGTACGGATACAGAAGACATGAGCAACGACATCTTCAACCAATTTTACTTAATTGATATTTATAGAACAATACTTAACAACAGAATATGCACTCTTTTCAAATGCACATGGAACATTAATCAAGGTAGACTATATTCTGAGCCATCGAACAAATTCTCAGTAACTGAAAAGAACTGAAATCATACAGCGTATGTTCCTCAACCACAATGGAATTAAACTAGAAATAAACACAAGAAAGACATCTGACAAATCCCCAAATACATGGTAACTAAACAACATATTTCTAAATAATCCATGGGTCAAAAAGCAATTTACAAGAGAAATTAGAAAACATTTAAATGGGATGAAAATAAAAACAATATATAAAAATGTGTTGGACCCAGCTAAATCAGTGCTTTGAGAAAAATTTGTAGTGCTAAATGCTTATATTAAAAAGAAAAAAGTTCTTAAATCAATAGTTTAAAGTTTGCACCTTAAGTTACTAAAAAGGAAGATAAATTAAATCTAAATCAAATAGAAAAAATATAGTATGGAAAGCAAAGATCATAGGAATTGAAAACAGAAAAAGCAATAGAAAAATAAATAAAATCTCTAACCAGACTGGTCCAGAGGGAGAAAAAGAAGTAAATGCCAGTATCAAGAATGAATGAAGGGACAACTTAGATGAAATAAACAAATTTTGTGAAAGATGCAAACTACCAAAACTCATTAACAAAAAGATAACCCGAATAGCACTTTATCTGTTAAGGAAACTGAATTCAAAGTTTTACAAAAAAACCTTCCCAGAAACAAAACTCTTGGCCTAAATGGCTTCACTCATGAGTTCCACCAAACATTTAAGGGTGAAATAATAATTGTATATCATCTTTTCCAGGAAATAGAAGAGGAAAAAACAACTTCAAAACTCATTTTGTCACGTAAGCATTACCGTGATGCCACAACTAAACAATATTACAGGCCAATATCCTTTGGGAACATATATGCAAAAAGTCTTAAGAAAATATTTGCAAATGGGATCCAGCCATTTATTAAAAGGATAATACATCACAATCTGGTTTATCACAGAAAGGAAACACTATACAATCAGCCAGTGTAATTCACTATACTAACCAACTAAAAAAGAAAACGCAATTATCTTCAGAAAAAGCATTTGATAAAAGTCAATACCCAATTATGATGAAGACTCTCAACAAACTTCTTATAGAAGGGAACTTCTTTGGGAGGCCGAGGCAGGCGGATCACAAGGTCAGGAGATGGAGACCATCCTGGCCAGCATGGTGAAACCCCATCTCTACTAAAAATACAAAAATTAGCCGCGTGCGGTGGTGTGCACCTATAGTGTCAGCTACTCGGGAGGCTGAGGCAGGAGAATCGCTTGAACCCGGGAGGCAGAGGTTGCAGTGAGCCAAGATCTCACCACTGCACTCCAGCCTGTGCAACAGAGCACGACTCCATCTCAAAGGAAAAAAAAAAAAAAGAAGGGAACTTAACCTAATAGAAGCACCTACAGAAAAGCCTATAGCTAACATCACACTTAAGGGCGAAAGACTGAATACTTTTCCCCTAACACAAAAGACAAGGCACTCTCAGTACTTGTTAACCTTGTATAGTGCAGTAAGTCTTCATTTCACAATGCCATTTATGTATAAAGTCCCAAAAAGTCTACAAAAAGGCTGCTAGTAATAATAATTGAGTTTAGCAAGGATGCAGAATACAAGGTCAATTTACAAAATTCAGCTGTATTTCTATATACTGGCAACAAACAACTGGAATTAAACGTTTTATAACAAGATTAAAAACATGAATTTTTAAAGGATAAATTAACAAGATATGTGTAAGAATTGTATGCTAAAAGCTATGGAACATTTGAGAGAAACTAAAAAAGGACTAAATAAGCGGAAAAGACACTATACTAAGGAATTGGAACATTCAATATTCTTAGTACTTTATTTTTACCCAAAATGATCTACAGATTGAATGCAATCCTAATAAAAAATCTAGAAGGCTTTTTAAAAATTAGAAATTAACAGGAAGCAAAAAGCCTAGAACAGCCAAACAATTTTTAAAAAGAAAAATAAAGCTGGAGGATTCACATGACTTTATTACATGATTTACTATAAAACCACAGTACTCAAGACTGTGATACTGATATAAGGATATACTGATTAATTGTGAAGAACAGAGTCTAGAAATAGACCTACACATATATGGCCGATTGATTTCCAACAAAGATTCCAGGAGACCTCCAGAGAAAAAGTCTTTCTAACAAATGGTGTTAGAAGAATTGGACTTCTACACACAAAAAAATGAACCTTAACTCTTACCATGAACTTACAATACATTCTAGACAAAAAATAAGTAGCATTAGCAGCCACAATACAGAAGAATAGTAATAATTCTGTTTGATCCAAGTTGTTTTTAGAAAACCCATTAACACCATTGGGTCAAAATAAGTAGATAGTCAATTACATAATCTAAATCAGCAGCTTTCAACTTTTCCTGTAAGACAGTCTCTAATATATATACACGTACACTATCTATTCACAGATCTCTTGCAACAAACCCACAGTCCCCTCAAGTGACCAGAGCTCACAGGTTGGGAACAACTGGCACATCTTCATCTTCCTTTCTACCAACAAGACACCAGCAAGTGTTATACATTTAACACTGACTAATCTTAAACCTCTTTTCTTCCTTTTCCTGTACGAAAAATTCAACCCTAAATGTAAGAATTCATAATAGTCCTTCATATTTCACTTGAATATTTCATGTGAATGTTTCGATCAAAACGATTTAAAAGTTTTTTTTTTCTTTCTTTGAGACAGAGTCTCACTGTTACCGAGGCTGGAGGGCAGAGCACGATCTCCACTCACTGCAACCTCCAACTCCCTGGTTCAAGATATTCTACTGCCTCAGCCTCCCAAGTAGCTGGGATTACAGGCACGCACCACCACATCTGACTAATTTTTGTATTTTTAGTAGAGACAGGGTTTTACCATGTTGGCCAGGATGGTCTTGATCTCCTGACCTCATGATCTGACCGCCTTGGCCTCCCAAAGTGCTGGGATTACAGGCGTGAGCCACCACAACCAACCTCAAAAATTTGTATTTTAATTTGTGTAAGGTAAGCTACATGGTCAATTTGTTATATTAGTGAAACTGCTGAACAAGTCAGAAACTGGGACAGAATTCTAAAAAGATGCCCTAAAGAAGGCAATATCTCAAGTTTATAAAGACAATTAAACAATAGGATTGTATGATGATTTGAACAGTTATTAATGTTACTAACGACTTTTAATTACCTTGTCTGTATTTCAGACAGGTAACACTCAGATTTTAAAATAATTTACTGAGATAGGTCACACTAGATCTATAACTTTCCCAATTTACTGGCCTAATCAAAACTTTTATTTTTCTTTTTTAAATTTTTAAAAATTTCAATAGCTTTAGGGGGTACAAGTAGCTTTTGGTTAAGTGGATGAGTTATATAGTAGTGAAGTCTGGGCTTTTAGTATACTTGTCACCCAAAGAGTGTACCATAGGTGATCTTTCATCCCTCGCCTTCCCCCTCAGCCTTCTCCCTTCTAAGTCTCCAATGTCCGTTATGCCACTCTGTATGCCTTTGCATACCCATAGCTTAGTTCCCGCTTACAAGTAATAACATGTGGTATTTGGTTTTCCATTCCTGAGTTACTTCACTTAGGATAATGACCTCCAGTTCCATCCAAAAACTTTTATTTCTTATTATTAATTTTTTTGGTGTTCAGTGTTTTTTATTTTTTTTTATTGCTTACTCCAGTTTTATTTTATTTTTTATTTTTTTTATTATAGTTTAAGTTTTAGGGTACATGTGCACATTGTGCAGGTTAGTTACATATGTATACATGTGCCATGCTGGTGCGCTGCACCCACTAACTCGTCATCTAGCATTAGGTATATCTCCCAATGCTATCCCCTCCCCCACCCCCACCCCACCACAGTCCCCAGAGTGTGATATTCCCCTTCCTGTGTCCATGTGATCTCATTGTTCAATTCCCACCTATGAGTGAGAATATGTGGTGTTTGGTTTTTTGTTCTTGCGATAGAAATACCATTTGACCCAGCCATCCCATTACTGGGTATATACCCAAATGACTATAAATCATGCTGCTATAAAGACACATGCACACATATGTTTATTGCGGCATTATTCACAATAGCAAAGACTTGGAACCAACCCAAATGTCCAACAATGATAGGCTGGATTAAGAAAATGTGGCACATATACACCATGGAATACTATGCAGCCATAAAAAATGATGAGTTCATGTCCTTTGTAGGGACATGGATGAAATTGGAAATCATCATTCTCAATGTTTTTTAATTTTTAATTTTTATAGGTACATAGTTTGTGTATATACTTATGGGATACCCAAGATGTTTTGATACAGGCAAGCAATGCATAATAATACCATGTAAAATCAAGTGTCTACCCCTTCAAGCATTTATCCCTTGTGTTACAATCAAATTATATTTTTAATTATTTTTAAATGTACAATTATATTAGTGTTGACTATAGTCACCCTGTTGTGCTATCAAATATTAGGTCTTATTCTATCTTGATAATTTTTTTTTGTACTCATTAATCATCCCTACCTATACTCCATTCCCTCACCACCCTTCCCAGCCTCTGGGAACCATCCATCCTTCTACTCTCTATCTCCATTAGTTCAATGGTTTTGATTTTTAGATCCTCACAAGTAAGTGAGAACATGTGATGTTTGTCTGTCTGTGCCTGGTTTATTTCACTTAGCATAATGACCTCTAGTTCTATCCATGTTGTTGCAAATAACAGTATCTCATTCTTTTTTATGGCTGAATAGTACTCCATTGTGTATAAGCACCATATTTTCTTTATTCATTCATCTGTTGATGGATACTTAGGTTGCTTCCAAATCTTGGTTATTGTGAACGGTGCTGCCAACAAACTTGGGAGTGCAGATACCTCTTTGATACACTGATTTCCTTTCTTTAGGGTATACACCTAGAAGTGGAATTGTTGGATCATATGGCAGCTCATTTTTAGTTTTCTGAGAAGCTTCAAAATTGTTCTCCACAGTGGTTGCACTAATTTATGTTCCTACCAACAGTGTACAAGAGTTCTCTTTTCTTCACATGCTCACCAGCATTTGGTATTGCTTGCCTTTTGGACATAAGCCATTTTAATTGGAGTGAGATGATAGCTCATTGAAGCTTTGATTTGCATTTCTCTGATGATCAATGATGTTGAGTGCCTTTTCATATGCCTGCATGCCATTTGTATGCCTTCTTTTGAGAAATGTCTATTCAAATCTTGTGCCCATTTAAAAAATTGGATTATGAGATGTTTTTCCTATAGACCTGCTTGAGCTCCTTACATATTCTGGTTATTAATCCCTTATCATATGAGTGGTTTGCTAATATTTTCTCCCATTCTGTGGCTTGTCTCTTCAGTTTTTTATTGTTTCCTTTGCTGCGCAGAAGCCTTTTTAACTTGATGTGGTCCCATTTGCCCGTTTTTGCTTTGGTTGCCTGTGCTTATGGGGCACTACTCAAGAAATCTTTGTGTAGACCAATGTCTTGGAGAGTTTCCCCAATGTTTTCTTGTTTCACAGTTTGAGTTCTTAGATTCAAGTCTTTAATTCATTTTGATTTGATTTTTGTATATGGTTAGAGATAAGGTTCTAGTTTCATTCTTCTGCATATGAATATCCAGTTTTCCCAGCACTATTTATTGAAGAGACTGTCTTCTCCCCAGTGTACGTTCTTGGCACCTTTGTCAAAAATGAGTCCACTGTAGGTATGTGGATTTGTAAAATCTTTTCTTTTTAAAGTAAATAAGTTAATGCAGTTCAACGGGATGTGTATCCCAGTAAAACTACTGATTTTCTTTTCCTCTAAATTAAAAAAACTATTTGTCTATTCTAATTTTTATATTGCTCCCACAATAATATGATTTTGTTTGCAGAATTTACTCCTTTCCACTTCCAAAAACTTGCTTCAAATGATAAATTTTGGATTCACACTTTTTAAAAAATTCCTTTTCTGAAAGTAAGACAATCTAAAAATTAAGCTACTGAAAAATGTTGTCTTATTAGTCTTGTATAAATGTTTTAAATATAACATGCATGCAATTATAAAGGTCTTTAAAAGTACGAACAATTTAACTCACTTTTGTTTCTGGAAGAGTCCTCAGAATAGTGTAGACAAAAGATGCCCAGCAAATACTTAACAATTATTTGAACAAACACATTGAATAGAACTTGGAGAATAGAATTGGACAGGAATTTGAACATAAGAATAAAATATATTTATTACATTATCCACTGTAAAAAAGCATAGTACATATTCACATACAAAGTAACTTTTAAAATCATAGGCAAGATAAGAATCAGAAGTTGATACATGCAAGTATATTTTAAAAGCTACAAATGCATACATGTTTTTTAAATGTCCTTCTACTAAATTCACTTTCTATAATTAAAAAAAAATAGCCAAATCAGGAGGATAGTTACTACTACTAATTAAACTTAAAAAAAATTTCCTAGGTGTTTTGAAAATAGTTCCTATGTAAATTCACAGTAGATATTCCCTACTCTAAACCTACCTCAGTTTGTACACCCAGCACCAAACAAATACAAAGCATTATGGGATAAAATTAATAATGCTATGCAAATAAAACAATTCATTTATAAATAATAATAAATAGTCACTCCACATCACAGTAACTTAGCATGATTAGAGAATAAATACTTAACTTTGAGAAGGATTACTGACTGGCAGTGTGTTGCTGGTATATGTCAGGATTATTCATCACCCTGACAGTAATATTAACCACAATCCATTTCAGTTGCTTCAGTTTATCATTTTCTGACTAATGTTAAAAAACAATGTCTTTGGAGGCTGCTTGAATTAAGTGTAGAATTAACGTCTGTTAGAGTCATTCAAAAACTTCTATTAGAAGATAACTTCTACAGAAAACCAAATCTGCTATACAGAGTACTAATGCTTAAAAGATGTAAGTTTCGAAACACAGCCATACAAAATAAATGGACTAATTCTGTTTTAAAAGCAAAACTTCAACAAATCCTGTAAATGCCTTATAACATCCATATACATATATATTCCTTAAATATATATGCTTCCACTTTCCTGAACTTAGTATTAAATTCTACATAAAGAGTTGCACAGACACATTTTAAACTAACATGCCACATTGAACACGTAATAATTCAATTTAAAAAGGTCAGTGTACCCATGAAAAATTTTCTTCAGGGTTATATAAATTAAATAGCTACACAGTTTGCTACCTAGGATCCTCAAAATTAAGTAATCTGCTAAAGGTCTCTCTACTTATAAATGGTAACAGGAATATACAACTCTATCTAAATCCAAAGATTCCCTGCTCTGGTCTAATTTTATCTTTCCAGGCTGTTTTCTCCACATCATGTTGATATTCCTTTTAGAAGATATCTGCATTTATAACTCTTCTATTAATTTTTATACTGCTCTTTCTTGTTTTATGATTATTCACTTTCCATAGCATAATTTTCTTGTTCTATTAATGCAATAGTTTCCCTTTATCTGAAAATATTTATTCTAGTTTTTTTTTTTTTAAAAAAACACTTCTGTTTCATAAATTGCCTCTGTTTCTTCTGGTTTTGTTTTGATTTTCTATTTGCTTTGGTCTTTGTCATCTTTCACATTAGAGGTTGTCTTTAAATGTTTGCTAATACTTGGCTGCACCTCCATTTTTAAGAATGAGACACTGAAGAGCTGACTGAGCATATAGACCATAAGTAGTGATGTGAACTGGTAGACTTCACTGAAGGGAAATCAAGTGGGCTCGAAGTAGAATCCCTAAATGTTTTATTTTTTTAGGTGTTTTCTTTTGAGCCAGTGAATATGTCCAAAGAGTAATACAATCTTCTGTCTTATGGGGTGGGGATGGTATAAGCTTAGCTGCCGCAGTTCTAATAGCATGACAGCAGAAGGGGTCTAGGGGCTTTCACGACTTGGTACTTAAAGCTTTCAGTTATAATCCTCCTGTTTTCCATCCTTTACCTTAAACCCTCCTTCTGGTGTGCTTGGTGTTCTCATATCAGAAACGTGTCTGGTAAAATTTCTCCAAAAAAGTCAATCTCTTGCTTTTTGACAATACAGAGGGAAGAGTAGTTGGATTTTGGAATGAAGCAGATATAAAGCAAGTATTGAATTTAAAATGTTCTTTCAGATTATACCTAAAGTCTACCAGTTGACTGACAGACAGATTTGAGATCAAATCCTGAGCTTACCACTTGGAAAATGTGTGACCTCCCAGAATTCTTTAACCTCACTAAATCTTAGTTTCCTTATCTGTAAAATAAAGACAATAACACATTCCTTACAGGGTTATTGAAGGAATTAAATGAAACAGCATATGTAAAATGCCTGTCATAGTGGAAAGCACCTATTAGGGCTTCCCTCACAATCCTACAAATACGTTGGGAACTCTCCCCATATCATTTTTATGCTTATTAGACTGCAAACTTTCCAAGGCCAGACAATGTAATTTATATCATAATCTCTAAAATCAATGTGGCATACAACAGCATCCATGTTTGATGCCAAGATTAAACTATTTTAACATATTATGTCAGCCAATAAAACATATCCAAAACATAATCAAGTATGGGGTAATTTTTAGTTTCTTTCTCTGCATTTATATTTTATTTAAACAATTTAAGATCTATTATTTACTGTTGTAGTATCATAAGATGTGTTTCTTTTGGTAAGCTTGAATTCCTTTAGCTTCACTGAAGCCCAATAAATAGAAAAATGAAGTAAAAGCCATAACACCTAACAAGTTTAAACAATATTCCCCCCACCCCCAAGAGTGTTCTTTTCCCTCTGTGACATCTAGATGGTATATTGATTCCCAGTGTATCTGTTACAGAGCAGACTAAAAGGACTGGCATTCATCAGAAACAGCACTTAAAACTTAAAGAGATAAAGAAGTGCTGTCTGATCAACAACAGTTAAATGTCGGTAGTCAATTCCAGGTCAAGATGCATGCTGTATATTAAATGTGTGTGTTAAACAGAAATATCTCACACATAAAAATATACATCCAAATGGTAGGAGATACATGAAGGAGAGAAAAAAAAATCACTTACTTTTCCTGAAAGAGAGAGCGAGAAACAGAAACATATACTAAGCACAAACAGGAGCAACTCAGCAATGAATAACAAATTCACTATGGTTCTGTCACTCAGTTCTCTTCGGTTTTGTCAGAATCTACTCTTTAGAACTATTTGGATCCAAACTAGGGCAATGTAAACTGCTAGGTTAACAGAGTGTGAATAGTCTAGCATTGTAACATAGGTTTAAAAACAAAACGAAACAAAACAAACATGATTTCTTAGAGCTTAGACAAAAATTTAAAATTCAGTTTTAGTCAATTTTCCTCTGATTCCTATGTTGCAAGATAGGAATCAGGAGATCATGGTGCAGGTTCATTTTCTTCTACTCTTTATTTTCCTGTTTCTGCACTATGGACCAAAATAACAGCTCATTTTGTGGTTACAATCTAAAGATGAAAAACAGATTTTTCTTTACCTTGTTCCTCAAACTCTCTATTTTCCTTCATTTTAAAAATGTGAGTTGTAATTATTAAAAAGTAAGTATTTGCTTTATCTTGGCCATTCCTGTTTCTCCCAAATCTTCAGCTTATTCTTTTACTAGGATAGTAATGACTTCATTTTATTCTTTCACATCTTCAGAAACTAGCAGTCCATGGCATATTACAGTACTCAATTAACAACCAATAAATGAATGAACAAATGAATAAGCAGTAACACTGGGGATCCTCTAGTTTTAACCGAACATTCAGCTTTTTTTGTAAAATAGGTTTAATCAAAAAAGGCTGGAGCATAACCTGGGATAAAGACAACAAGAGTAGGGCAATTTGAAAAGAAAAAAAGCTTTCCTTTTTCAAGCAATAGCATGCTGCTTGTAGGTACTAGGTACTTCAGCATGAGAAGTGAAAGGCAACTTCATAAATAACATTAAAACAGAACCAGCAACTGGTGCCAAAAGTGGAAGGCACTATTGGCATATTACAGAGTTTCTCAAACTTTCTGGGCCAAAGCTCACGTTAAGAAATATGTTACTTTAAAAAACACACATGTACATACACTCAAACAAATTGAGCAGAAGATTTATACAATATGCACAGTGATGGTTTCTTTTTTATGTTATGCTACGGTATCCCATTCATTTTTTAAAAACGCAATTGTGAGCTACAGGTTGAAAACTTAGTGTTCAAATTCTGATTCTACCTACGTGCAACTTGACCTCATGGTGCATTAGTTTCTGCCTCTGTAAAAAACAATAATGTTACCTACTTAAAGGGATTTTGTGAAGGTTAAAGGAATTACCACACACAAAACACTTAGACAAATGCCTGGCATATAGTAAATGCTCAATAAATATTAGTTAACAATAATAATAAAGTGGATGATCCTGTCTTGTGAATTTCATAGCCAAGATAATTGGGTTTTCATTGGCAAGTGGAATAGTTATCAATTGCATTTCAATCCAAGAACATGCTGGTTTTTTTAAAAGGTACCCAGATTACTATACAAATACATATTATATATTCTAAAATAACTACACTGGTCAACTAGAAGAAACATGATTGCCTCAGATTGTCTTGGTTTCCCTCTCTCAGAAAATCTGTTTTACACAATCACTTTCCAAAGTAAAGAAAAAATAATAAATCACAGGTACAAAGGAAATCATCCTAATCTACAAAGGAAGCCCTGGTACTGAAAAACTCAGCCATCATAATTTACTTTTATGGTATGACATTTTGTAAATATATTCCTGCGCTGATTATAAATTCTTATAAAGAAATGTCAAAAAGAAAATGTTGAATCTTATCTCTTCCAAGGAGGTTGTCAAAATATAAAATCAATGTATGTTTATAAAATATGGATTAATGTCACTCCAAATTCTATGCATGGTTAGATCTGTCTTCTCATCAGTCAGAATTTCAGACTACTGATGAAATAACTGGGAAAGTAGAGGGAAAAGAAATCAACCTCAAAATTGATTCCTATTTTTTTCAGCTTTGAAAGAATAAATTAAACCATTTTATGCTAAATGAGGACTTTTGCAATACAAGAAAAGATTTAATTTTCACCAGTCTTTCAGAATAAAATAGATTTGATCTTCTCAATGTACTTATGATACTAATTTGGAATGATTATAAAGAGATATATTGTACATGGAATAAAAGCTTATACATTTAAAAAGACATTTTTTACACTGCTCCATTCAGACTTTTTTTTTCTTAAAAGAAGATCAGAAAAATAATACAGAAGAAAGGATGCTGATTACATTAATTCAGCTTCAGAAAGAGAATTCCCAGTGCAACATGGAAGAGATTACCAAATAAAATTGTAGCTTTGTATCAAAGGTACTAAAAGTCCTCTGAAAAACAGCTTTGGCAAAATTAAATAGATATAAATATGCATAAATAATTCAATACATTTTAAAGCCAGTCAGGCAATATTATCCACTTAAGAACGGAGATAAGATCTGTTTGTATTCTACATTAAGCTATGCATACAATGTTTTCTAAGATTTCACAAGTTTATTTAAACAAACAGTAATGTTTACAAAATGTATACTATGGGACAAATTTTAATACAATTCTATTATAATCATTATTTGTACAGATAGAGCTCATTTATATATGAGATGTATTCTTGAAAATGTGTGTATAAACAAATATTTGAAAACTGAATCACACTGTAAACATTTTGGCAAGCCTTAATACTAAAAGGAATGAGGTACTTTTACTAAGTAAACAATCACCGCTATTTTATATGTGCAAAGTACAATTTTCAAATATCTGATGTGCTTGATTATTTCACTAAATGCAGTTGATTCCAAACTCACTTATTTCATCAATATTTAATGAAAGCAATTAGTACTAGTAGAATTCCATTCTCATGAACCTGAATGACTTTTGTAGCATTCACACTACCATTGGTTTATAGGAAAGGAGATATTAGTTGTAAGGCGGTAGAATGTTAGAGCTCCTCACTTCTCCCCAGACCTACTAATTACACTACTGTTCATTATTCAACTGTGTGCCCTTCAGTTCTTGTTGAAAGCACTTTTTATAACTATTCCTTCCTCAGCCAAAAGGGCAAATATTTCACAAAATTTCTAAAAATATAAAAATGAATGCCATTACAATTGAAGTCACAAAATTACACAAATGACATTTCTTATGTCTTTGTTTAGTGGATGTGGACATATTTGGATAGAGGTTAATGAAAGCAACAGTTTTGTTTTGTTTTGCAGCCCCCCCTTTTTTACTTTTAATGTAGCAAAATAAAAAAGCAAAATTACTATTGATCATCTACTGGGGCATAAGGTAACCTTATTTCTCATATCCTGAAGAAAAGGCATTAGTTAAAATAATATTTTACCCACCCAACAAAAGTATTTCACAAGTTCCTTAGGTACAGCTGTAATATACAAATAAAATTTGATTTTAATAAAGGATTCTGTTTAGCTGGCCACTAATCTACAATAGCATTTTTCTGATATAATTTCAATGAACATTCATAATAAAAATCATACAGCCTACATAATAAAAATGTCCTGGAGGCTTCCTTCTGGTCATTTAACATTTTTAGTAGAATAGGTAACAAAGATGAGGGGCAGAGAATGGAGGCAGTTGGTAAAAAAGGGTGGTGTTAGGATGAGGTAAAAGGGTTATGAGAACTTTTGGTCAGGTACAAAGATGGAGGAAGAGAAAAACATATCCTCAAAAAAAAAAAAATAACCTCCCACTTGTCACCATTAGGTACTGTTTCATCAAGACTGAATCATGAGTCCAGCCCGAGTCCAGCCCACAATCCATCTTAGTACTCATCACATCTTAAAGAGATTTCTAAAAACTCATCTAAAGCACAAAAAACATCTGAATAAGCTATGTGCTGAAATAGAGTCCAAACTGTGGATTCAGCCCTGAAACAGAAGGCAAGGCAATACTTCTAGGACCCTAGAACACGTATTCATATATATGTCATTCATTTTGTGAAGCAAATTTTATATTCTAACAAAATCAACCCCCCAAAAATGATATTTTTACTTTTGCAAACACAAAATTCAAACCATAGAGAGAGAGTAGGGTATAATAGCCTGAGGATTAAAGAGCTGCCCAGTTTTTATTATTGACCTACTGCATGGCTCATTACACAAGTCAAACTAATACAGTCCTCATTTATTAGACTACAGAGCTCTACAGATTCCATAATACTATGGGGTCTTAGAACAAATATGATACCGAGGTGTAAGGCCTTCCTTTTCTTTTCAATTTTTTTTAAACCAACCATTTATCATTCCTCATGGTCAATGGGTCAATTGGGAAATTCTGCTGATCTGGGCCTGGCTTTGTTGCTCTTAGTTGGACTCCTTCATACGTTTGTGGTCAGCTGGCAGGTCAGCTGAGGACTAGCTTGTTAAGGATGACCTAAGCTGTCACAGCTCAAGTGTCCTCCATGTGTCAGTCACAACCCATCAGCAGGTTAACTTGGGAATGTTTAGGGCATATTCTCAAAGTGATCACAGAGAAGCAAGAGCAGAAACACACAAGCACTTTTTCAAATTGTTTCTAGTTTGCTAACTTTTTTTTTCTTGCTGGTTTCTCTTTTATTAATGGTGGCAAAATATACATAACATAAACGTACAGTTCGGTAGTATTAAATACATTCACATTGTTGAACAATCATCACCACTATCCATCTTGAGAACTTTTTTCAACTTGCAATCCTGAAACTCTATACCTATTACATGAAACACTAACTCCTCATTCTCTCCCTCACCCCAGGCCCTGGCAACCAGTATTCTACTTTTTGTCTCTATAAATTTCACAACTCTAAGTACCTCATATGAATGGAATCATACAGTATTTGCCTTTTTGGGACTGGCTTATTTCACCTAGCATAACATCCTCAAGGGTTATTCATGTTGTAGCATATGTCAGAGCTTCCTTCCTTTTTAAGGCTGAATAATATTACATTGTATGTATATACCATATTTTGTTTACCCATTTATCTGTCGATGGACATTTGGGTTGTTTCTATCTCTTAGCTGTTGTGTGTCACGCTGCTACAAATATGAACATGGGTGTAAAATTATCTGTTCTTATCCCTACTTTCAATTCTTTTTAATTTTTTGAGAAACTACCATACTGTTTGACATATAAGCTGCACTATCATACTTTCGCACCAGCATGCACAAGGGTTCCAATTTTCCACATCCGTGCCAACACTTGTGATTTTCTGGGTTTGTTTTCATTAACAATCTTCCTAATGGTTGTGAAGTGGTATCTTATTGTGATTTTGATTTACATTTCCCTAATAATTAGTGATGTTCATTTTCATCTCATTGGCCACTTGTATATCCTCTTTGGAGAAATGTCTATCAGGTTCTTTACCCATTTTTGAATGTTGTTGAGTTTTAGGAGTCTCTACAAATTCTTGATATTAATCCCTTATTAGACATGTGATCCATGAATAAGGCTTTCCTCTGAAAATTAAAACTCCCTTTTAGAGTTCAGTAAGTAGATATAGAAACTGGTACAATTTCTTAGCTCTAAGCACTATATCAGGCACAAGAGATACAGAAATTAACAAAACAAAATCTTTGTATTCAATGATTTTGCTTAATAGGGAACACAGAGAAGAAAATGTTAAAATTATAATAAATTATGAAATGTATTATAACAAGTATATGGAAAGTACCCTGGGAGTTCAAATTTCTAGATAAAGAAAAGAGCCAACAGCAAAAGCACAAGAGGTGAACATGAGGCATCACAGGATCAGATGATACAGCAAAGATGGGGACAGAGACAGAAGACGTGGTAATAAAACAGACAATGGCTAGATCCTAAACACTATTGTTTGTCATGAGGAAAATGTTAACCTTCGTTTTGACATCCTCGGTAACTATTGTGATTGTCTGAACTGTGTGAAGATCCTATCCTGTGGATAGAGAGTAGGAATTACTCCTGAACATCTTCCTGGAATGAGTAAATAAGAGAACACACTCTTAGAGTCCCTGAGCTCTAAGTAAAGGACACTGGATATGTTGAGTGAACTTGTACTTCTCATGCTGGGATCTGCAGACACTGGGCAATGATCTTCTGACTGAGACTGTGAATCACTGAGAGCCTTGCATTTCTGCTATGATTGGGTATTCAGTGGAGCTTTACATAAACACTTACCTGTGGCCTAAGATGGATTTAGAAGAGTTAAGGGAAATGACTATGTATACCCTTGAAAAAAGTTAGTACTAACAGCAAGAAATCTGGTGTTTTGAGAATGTAAGAGTGACATACAGGAATAAAGGACCAACACTGGGTCAGGGTACAGACAGGGAAGAAGCAACAAAAAGTCTCCAGGTCAAAGATGTAGAAGACATAAACATTTGTTAGCTGTTCCTAGAAATTACTAAGGAAAGAAGCTTTAGGAAAAAGACTGGATATTCCACTCACCTAAAAAATGAGGGTAGAGACTTTGTACTCAGACATTAAAGGAAATACAATTCTGAATATAAATTGGAGGAATCAGTTTGAACTCATAATGTATTTCATCCTAATTTTTTTCCTAGCACCCTCTAAAAAAGGGATAGAAATAATGACAAATTCAGTAGCAATAAGCAGAATAGACAAAACTGTGATCTCCAGATATTAATTCCCACTATAAGAGGTCCCACCCGGGCTCCTCAAAGAAACAGATGATTCTGTATCTGGGCCAGAAAATGTAAGGGTTAAGACTAGAGTGCCTGGTCATACCAGAGAGCATGAAAGTTATCAAAGACTACAAACAGTGTCAAAAATGTCCCAGTAATAACTTCAAGAAGCTCCCCCGGTCAAAGAAAGAACAACTGAACATCAGTAAATAACTGCAATGGATTGAAACATCAAATACATTGAAATCTATGAGTTCATAAAGATACTTTTTTAATAGTCAGTTTGATACCATTGGAGAATGCTAGGAATCAACTCAATATTTTGAAAACTGTTATGTAAATTAACAGAAAAGAGAAAGAATTAAACTTCTATCCTGTCTTTTCTCTGCAATGTACCACTGGATACCCCAGTAGTAGAAGAGAGGAAGTGTCTCTTTATAGAATGAGTCCCATAAATAAGTGAAATAAAAGTGATATTTTAAATACCACAATTTGGCAATGCTTACTAAATTAATGAATCCATGCACTGAATATCAGTGCTAACATCACAAAAGAGAAGTAGTGTTTATCATGCACATTAAATTTTTCCATTTGAAAATCTGTTTAAGAGATAATTATATTAAAGGTACGACTATATTTGAAAAAAATTTTTAAGTTAAGTAAAATAACGAAAGACAATCCAATTTATTTTTATATGCAAGACAATTATATTTCACATCATTACTGAGAAATTACCTTGGACAAATCTCTGAAGTTGGTGGGCAAGGTAAGATCCAGTTCTTCTGATTCATAATTAGTGATGACCCAAGGAAACACTGGATACTGATTTAAGTCATTATAACTCCGTCCTGATAGGGAAAAAAGTTACTCGTAATTTATAATTTTAAAAGTGAAATAAACAGATTCAGTAATATAATTTACTAAAAATAAGATTAAACAATTTTTGATTGCCAGACATCATTCTCAGTATCCATACTTTCTCTCATTTAATCCTCACAACAATCCTATGAAATTGTATCATCTCCATTTCACAGATGAAAAAATTGAGTCACAAAAGGTTAGGTAACTTGCCCCAAATCACACAACTAGTAATGGTCAAACCATATTGAAATCCAGATTTTCTGGTCCTAAGTTTGTGTTCTTTTAAACTACATTTGATAATTTTTTTTATCACTTGAAAGCCTGCCCCAAATAAAATACTCTTTTTTTTATGACTTTAAAAAGCTATTTGTAATTCTCACAGTTTTTCAAAACAAGAATCCTTTCTCTGCCATTAATAATCAACCAACTAAGCAATCAAGTTTAAATGACTTAACCCTGGTGGACATTCACCAGTCATCTATAAAATGAGGGCATTGCACTAAATAATTCTGAAATGTCTGTGGTAGTTTTCAAATCCTATAATCCTCTGAAAATAATGAGCAGTATTATCAATGTTGCTTCCTTACATGCCCAAATGTGGCCACATGCTCTTCTATACATCTTTCTAATGACATTTTCAATGACATATTTAGATTTATTAAAAATACAAATTACAGCAAAAGAGGAGGTAGTCCTTCTACATATGTACAGCAGTTTTTTGGATATTACCTTTTTAGGGAGGTAGCATAGTGGGTGAGATCATTGTTTCTGGAATCAAAATGCTGGTGTTTGAATCCCAGTTCCTATTTACTAGTCTATACATATTTTTAGTTAGATTTAACATGAACAGACTTTTACGGTGAACATAGAGACAAGTATATTAATATTGTTTGAATTCCTTTCTTATTATATATTCTATCATTTCCATTCCTTTTTCTTTCTCAAATATATACTGATGTTATATCAATACGTAGCTGAATATTAAAGTAGTTCTCTGTACATACTCTTGGTATCTAAGCCTTTTTTAGGTCTGATGTTTTTAACTTTTTATTTTACTCTATTCATCTTAGGCTTGAGGCCTATTAGGGTAACAGAGTTCATTTTTGGCTGACCTGGAACAGTCTTATAAAACATCATAACAATGACATTTTTAATTCATAGATCATTAATGTCACTACATATTTCTATCAATAATTTTAATTTCTCCATTAAAAAAACCAAACATAGCAGCAGAAAAAAAAATTTTATGCTCCCCCACTTCCTTCTCCTTCTGATTTAAATGTTGGTAAACAGTAAAATCGTCTTGTCCCATCTACTTAAATAATCAGAAATAATTTTTTATTGTACCTAAAAAATGAAGAGTATGGACCTGCTCAGTGATTAGACTTAATTAAGTTAAACTCAATACACAGTTATTGAATATCAACTGATGGCCATTTGGGAAATGCATCATGATATCATGTTTATCTATATGTGGCACAAATAATAATGTAAAAGAAATCTTAAGTGAGACTTAACTCCATCCTCTAATGCACATTTAAAAAATCTAAAGCAAATGATAGATTCTATATTTATAAAACATATACAGGGAATATACTTAAAGGACACTGCAGGCACAATAAAAGCTATTTGAGAACACATGATTTCATAAATGTTGCTCCATAATCATAACTGTGCATTCAACATGGGTTAATTGATTTACTACATGCAAAATATGTCCATTAAACTTGTTATATAAGTTTCCTCTCACTACTTAAAAATTCTTTTAGTCACTAGTTCTATAATTTCTACTAAATTCAACATAACCATTGACATTTTCTTCATCCCTTTTCCTCAGCTGACTGTGAGATAAACTTCTAATAAAATTTAGAACTTTCAATGTGAGCCCCTCAACTTCCAATTCTTTGCAACATCCCCTCACTCTTTCCCATTTCTCTAACAGGGTCTTTTCTTTGCTAAGAGTAATTGCTTCACCTGAGCTCTCAAACCTGTCTCCCTCATAACTTGAATTGTTACTTTTCTTCTCTCCTCCTCTTACATCATTTCTCCTCTCTGCCCCAACCCATCTTCTCTTTAATAACACATTTAAAATAACCATAATTGGCAGGGCGTGGTGGCTCACGCCTGTAATCCTAGCACTTTGGGAGGTAGAGGCGGGCAGATAACCTGAGGTCAGGAGTTCAAGACCAGCCTGGCCAACATGGTGAAACCCCGTCTCTACTAAAAATACAAAAATTAGCCGGGTGTGGTGGCAGGAGCCTAAAATCCCAGCTACTTGGGAGGCTGAGGCAGGAGAATCGCTTGAACCTGGGAGGCGGAGGTTGCAGTGAGCCGAGATCGTGCCATTGCACTCCAGCCTGGGGAAGAGGAGAGCAACTCCGTCTCAAAAAAATAAAAAAGACCTGTAATTACATCTACAGTTACTATTTCATTTCCAACCATTCATTCTGAAGTCTCCCTCTCCACTCTGTAACATTTGACACAGGTGAAAATGCCTTCCTCCCTCTTTCACCTTGCCTCTCAAGACATCTGACTTACCTCAGTTCTCCTACTATATCTGCACATTCTAGGATCACTCATTCCTTTTTGTCCTTTACTAACTTTCCTTCTCTCTTCTCATATGCAAGAGAATTTCCCTGTCTTATCTCACTGCTTTCTGTATTATCTTCCTTGCTGATCTCACATCTCTTGGTGATTTCCTCTCTATGCAGATGAAATCCAATGTCCTAGTTCTAAGTTCCGAATATCCTCCTTGACCTATACTTCCAAAAACTCTGATACCTTAACTAGAAAGTCTGCCGGCACAGTAAAATCATCATCTTTCCCTAGATCAAATTTTCTGACTTCTTTTTCCATTAATTGCACCACCATTTTCCCACTAACGCAGGCCAGAAGCCTGGAAGTCTTTTCAGATACTTTCTTCTCATTTACCACCTACATTCAGTCAGCTGCATATCAAATGGTTGGTGCCTTGTGAATTCTTATAGAATTTGTTCCTTCTTTTTTAATTCCCACTGATACCTAATGGAAGCCCTCATTACTACACACACACACACACACACACACACACACACACACCACACACTAAATTACTTCCTAACTTTACTTTCTGCCTAGTCTCTAGCCACCCAAATTTATCTTACACACACAGCCTCCAAGTTAATTTTTGATGCAGCTCTAATATCACTTAGGTGCTCAAAAACTTTCAAAAGTTTCCCAATGAACTGACGCTAACTCTTCAAACTGACAAGAAAATCGTTCTTCGCATTTCTAACATTCTTATTTTTTCCCATTATATCTTTATGAATATATACTTCATGCACACAAAAATATACAGTATATACATAGATATACAAACTATACCATTCTTGCTCTCTAGGTATACTTTATATTTTCCCATCTTTGTATGTTTGCTTATGCTTTCAGTCTTACATGGAATGACATCTAACATTCCAACCACCTCCTCTGCTAGTCAAATAGTATCCATCCTTATACAACCATTGAAACCTTATTTTCTCCTTACTCCCACCAACTGGGTGAATATAATTTCCCTCTCTCCCTGTCCTTTTAATCACCACAGTACTTTGAGTTTTTTACTGAATCTATATCCCCTTGCTCTAGAATCATGTAAACATTCACATTTGTACTTAAAATGACTTCTATGAGAGTAAGCAACATACCTTATTCTCTTTGTATATCCTTTGTAGTATTCTAGTAGCAATAACGGCAATAAAACAAGCTAGTTATACCACTACTTAAAATAATCTAACAATTGAAATTAATAATTTATTGTCTAAAATAAATCAATACATGGAATTAGGTTACCTGCTATCGTGTTGAGAAACATCAAGTACTCAAAATTAGATATCTCTCTGTGTTGCCATCGCTGGGTCATATTAGAAGCCTTAAAAAGCTGACGTGGACTAGCTAATGAAATACGTCTGCAAGAAAAAGAATTCAATGTGATATGATTAATTATATCACAATAATAAATCATGAATTATCTGTGCTTATTCATTCATAATATCTATAATTCTGAAAAGTTCTATTCATGTTAGACTAATGAATACTAGAGAGGTTTCAATCTACAATTCATGGTTAAACAAATGATTTAGACTAGCCACAGAGGTATTATACATGTTGTATTCATTCAGGTAAGCTGTCATTACAGTGCCATTATAATGTACAGGTTCAATAAAAGTTGATTAATAACAGTATAATTAATAATTCACTGCTTTAATGATATAAAAAGAAGAAATTATAGCAGCTGGGAAGTGCATATAAAATTCTATTCACATGTCTTTATTAATTGTAATAGTTATCTTAAATGAACACATTTTTACATTATAAATTTAAATATATTTGCATACACTTTGTATCAAAGAGAAGGGAGACTCTAAACTATTTGGGCGTCTGTTCATGGGGTAAAGAGAAATTTTTTTAATATAGCTTAATAGAAGACAAATTTTCCTGTAGCCTCCTAATGAAATGTAAACATCAGTGAATAGAACTGATCAATACAAAGAGTAGTGAGAAACAGATGGCAGAATTAGTTATTACATTCAAAGCCTAGAATCTCAGAGAAATAGGCTGTCACAGTTCTTTCTACCACAAAAAACAAGGTAATTATTTTGTAAAAGGTTCACTGAAGTATAATTTTCATGCCATAAAATTTATTCAATTTGTACAATTCAGTAATTTTTAAAAAATATTTCAAAAGTTGTGCAATTATCACAATTCACTTTAGAACATTTTCTTCATCTCTTCTCGGCCTTTTGGCTAAAATCAAGTGTAGAACATTTTCATCACTACAAAAATTTGCCTTGTACCTATTTACAGATAATCTTCATTCCTATCCCCACCTACAGGCAACTAGCAATCTACTCTGTGTCTCTAGTAAACCCACCTTTTCTAGACATTTCAGATCAATGGAATCATACATTAGTATGTAGTCTTTTGTGTCAGGTTTCTTTCACTAAACATAATGTCTTTGAGGTTTATCAATATGGTAGCATGTATCCACAGTTCATTCCTTTTTATTGCTGACTAGTATCCCACTGTATATAGAATACAGCACATTTTGTTTATCTAGTTGATGGACATTTAACAGTTTTTGCTATTATAAATAATGCTACCATAAACATTCATGTATATATCTTTATATGAAAATATGTTTTGATTTCTTTTGGGTAGATTCCTAAGAGTGGAATTGCTAGGTTGTATGTTGAGTTTATCTTTAATTTTTTGAGAAACCGCCAAATTGTTTTCCAAGGTGGCTATACCACTATATGTTCCAATCAATAATGTATACATTCATCTCCACATCCTTGCCAATACTTGCTCTTGTGTGTATTTTGATTATTACCATTCTAGTTAGTGTAAAATAACAGTTTTAATGTATGTTGTTGAGCATCTTTTCATGTGCTGATTGGTCATTTGTATATCTTCTTCGGTGAAATGACTAATCAAATCTTTTACTCATTTATTGAGCTGTTTGCATTTTATCACTGAGTTGTTAGAATTCTATATACATTCTGAATACAACTCTGTGATAGTTAATTTTATGTGTCAGCTTGACTGGATTAAGTGACCTTAGAGAGCTGGTAAAACATGATTTCTGGGTATATCTGTGATGGCATTTCCAGAGAGATTAGTACTTGAACCAGTGGGCTTAGTAATGCGGACTGCTCTCTCCAGTATGGTGAGCATCATCCAGTCAATTGAGGACTGAATACAATGAGAAGGAGAAAGGGTGAATTCCCTCTTCTGCTCAAGCTGGGAATCTATATTCTCCTCCTCTTGGATAGCAGGAGCTCTTGGTTCTCTGTCCTTCACTTCTTACCCCATCCCTCTCTCCTTAGGCCTTCAAGCCTTGGGCTCAGTCATGGGCTCCCCTGGCCTTCAAATTAGGATTGAATTACACCACTGGCTTTCCTGGGTCTCCAGCTGTAGATGGTGTATTGTGGGATTTCTCAGCCTCCATGGTCATATGAGCCAATTCCCATAATAAATCTCCTCTTACATATCTATACATATCCTATTGGTTTTGTTTCTCTGAAGAATGCAGACTAATAAAAAGTGCTTTATCAGACACATGATATACAAATGTTGTATCAGTCTGTGGCTTATTTCTTCATTTACTTAGTGGTCAATTTTGAAACACAAAAGTTTTACATGTTGGTTGAGTCCAATTTCTCAATTTTTTCTTCTGTGGATTATGCTTTTAGTGTCACATCTGAGAACTGTTTGCCTTTCCCAACATCAGAAAGTTTTTCTCCTATGTTTTCTTTCTGACATTTTATAGTTTTACTTCTCACATATAGGCCTATAATATATTTTGAGTTAATTTTTTTGACTGGTATGTGGTAAGCATCAAAATTTTCTTGTATGTAAACATCCAATTTTGTCCACCAATTGTTTAAAGCCTATCTTTTCCTCACTGAATTGTGTTGGCACCTTTGCTGCAAAACAATTGACCGCAAACTCAAGGATTTATTTCTGTATTGTCAATTCTCTTCCTTTAATTTATATGCCGATCTTTGTACAATTACCACAATTGAAGACTGAGTACAATGAAAATGAGGAAGGGTGAATTCCCTCAGTATTTTGATAACTGTGGCTCTACAATAAGTTTTGAAATCAAGGTACATCTTCCAATTTTGTTCTTATATTTCAAAATTGTTTCAGCTACTCTAGGTCCATTGCATTTCAACTTCCCAATTTCTCCAAAAACGTCTATCAGGAATTGATAGGGATTATACAGAATTTACAGATCTAGGGAAAACTACCCTATTAATTATATTGAATCTTCTGATCCATGAACATGGAATGTCTCCATTTATTAAGGTCTATTTTTAATTTCTCTTAAAAATGTTTTATACTTTTCATTGTACAAATCTTACACTTCTGTGATCTGTAAAGAGGGCTACTTTCTTTCTTCATTCCCAGTGCAGATATCTTTAATTTCTCCCTTCCTTCCTCTCTTTCTTCCTTATTGCACAAACTAACATCTCCAGTGTAACGCTGAATAGAAGTGGTAAAAATGGGAGGACATTTTTACCCTCCTAAACTTAGGGGGAAAGTATTCAGTCTTTCAACATTAAGTATGATGTACGTATTGGGAGTTTTTTGGTAGATGATTTTTGTCACTTTGTGGAAATTTCTTTAGTTGAAAGTTACTTGAGAGTTTTTAATCATGAATGTGTGTTGAATTTGGTCAAATGCTTTTTTCTGAAATGATAGTAAGCTTTTTCTCCTTTATAAATACTGGTGCATGACATAAATTGATTTTCATATTTAAATTAACTGGCATTCCAGTGATAAAACCCACATGAACATTTTATAAATCCTTTTTATATACTGCTGAATTTGTTTCCTAAATTTTGTTTTAAAAAAATGTGTCTGTGTTCAGGACGGAAATTGGCCTATAGCATTTTTCTTGTTAGTTTTCCTGTAATGTCTTTGTCTGGCAGTGGTATTGAGGTGACTGACCTTATAGAATGAGTTGCAAGTGTTTCCTCCCTCCTATCTTCTGGATGAGTATGTGAAAGATTTATATCATTTCTAGTTTAAATATTTTATTGCATTAGCCAGGAAAGACAACTGGGTCTGGGCTTTTCTTTATGGAAAGATTTTTAAATTAATAGCTCATTTTATTTATGTGTTATAGGTCTATTCAAATTTCCAATTTCTTTTTGAGCCAGTTTTGGCAATTCTGTTTTTCTAAGAATTTGTCCGTATCATTTAAGTATCTAATTTGTTGGTAGGAAGTTGTTCATGATATTCCTTTCTACTCCTTTTAATTTCTGTAGGCTCAGGCTGGGCTTGGTGGTTCACACCTGTAATCCCAGCACTTTAGAAGGCTAAGGAGGGAGGATCACTTGAGCCCAAGTTCGAGGCCAGCCTGAGCAACATAGGAAGACCCTATCTCTATAAAAAAAAAAAAAAATCAAAATATTAGCCAGACATGGTGGCATGTGCCTGTAGTCTCAGCTACTCAGGAGGCTGAGATGGGAGGGTGGCTTGAGCCCAGGAGTTTGAAGCTGCAGTGAGCTATAACTGTGCCAAGTGCACTCCAGCCAGGGCAACAGAGCAAGATCGTGTCTCTACAAAAAAAAAAAAGAAAAATAAACAGGAAAAAAGATTCTATATGCTCAATAGTCATGTCTCTACTTTCACTTCTAATTTAAGTAATTTGTGTCATCTTTCATGGTTAGGTTAAAGTCTGTCAATTTTACTGATCTTTGCAAAGAATCAACTTTTGTTTCATTGATCTTCTTCAGTGTTTTTGCTTTATGTTTCATTGATTTTTGTTATAATCTTCATTACTCTATTTTTCTACTTGCTTTGCATTTAGTTTGCTCTCCTCTACTGTCTAACAGTAGAAGCATAGGTTATTGATTTGAGGAATTTATTTCAGATATGGGTGTTTAAAGCTGTAAATTTTCACTTAATACTACTTTAGCTGCATCTCATATATTTTGATATGTTATACCTCTGTTGGATATAAGCATCCAAATTAGTATGCTTCTCAGTCCCATGGGAGGAAGAGTTGCTGGCCACAGAAGTAACCAAAGCACTAATAGCTACATGGCAGAGACATGGCAGAATGTGTGAGGACAAAAAGAAAGATGCCCCCAAACCCAGGCACTCTCTAGGTTCTGGGAGGTATACAGAGGAGGAAGTGGTGCAGACCAAGGAGCATGGAATCAAAAAAAATGAAGCCCCCTACACCACCACCACTCTAGCCACACAGCCTAAGCTCACTCCCTTCTCTGTACCTCTCTAAGCTTCTAACTGCAAAATAACATATCTCCTGGTAGCTGTTATAACCCCTGATATGCATGTATTAAACTCCTTGGTTAGTGCTCCTATAGAAAAAAGGAAATGCCTGAAAACAAGTGATAGGGTTAGGCAAAACTTGCAGTGAAACAGAAAAACTAAAATGAAAACTATTGTTGGTGGCATCTTTGGGCTGACTCAATATATTTTTGTTACGGCTTAAAACTGGTATCTGTGTGTATATGCTTGTACTGTAAGAGCTCCTGGGTGTCAGAAAGAATATTCCAGATCAAGAACCACCACAGGTAGAAAACTGATAACAGGACTAATTCTCTTGCTGATTGCCATCAGTGGTGAGTCAGGATTTAGCACAATAGTCCCTACCCTCTCACGTCCTACTGGCTGACAAGTCAGAACATTTGGTCTTAATGGCCCTGACTTGTAGTGTTCTCACAACTAAACCAAAAGGAGTAGCTCATAAATGCCAACAAAATTCAGGGTCCTGCTTGCCAAGTAAAGCTTCTTGATATTGTGTGGGCAAATTCACAACATTCAATCCTCTGGAGGTCAAAAGCTAAATGTGATGGACAGTTTTCAGTCTATGTCTTACTGATTTCTCATCAGATATTTTCATGTTTAAAAACTACCATCCCTTGGTGATATGGTTTGGATTTGTGTCCCCACCCAAATATCATGTCAAATTGTGTATTAGTCCACTCTCACACTGCTATAAAGAACAGCCTAAGACGGGGTAATTTACTAAGAAAAGAAGTTTAATTGACTTATAGTTCCACATGGCTGGAGAGGCCTCAGGAAACTACAATCATGGTGGAAGGCAAAGAAGGAAGCACCTTCTTCACAAGGCAGCAGTGGGGGTGGGAGAACCAAGAAAAAATTAAACCATCAGATCTCATGAGAACTCACTCACTATCATGAGAACAACATGGGGGAAACTGCCTCCATGATCCAATCAGGTCCTCTGTTGACATGTGGGGATTATAATTTGAGATGAGATTTGGGTGGGGACACAGAGAAAAACCATATCAAATTGTAACCCCCAGTGTTGGAGGTGGGGCCTGGTGGGAGGTGATTATATCATGGGGTAAATTTCCCCCTTGCTGTTCTCATGACAGTGAGTGAGTTTTCACAAGATCTGGTTGTTGAAGAGTGTGTGACAACCCCCCTCCCCGCTTCTTCCTCATGCTCCTGCCATATAAGATATGTCTGCTTCCCCTTCACCTTCTACCATGATTGTAAGTTTCCTGAAGCCTCTCCAGCCATGCTTCCTTATAGCCTGAGGAAACATGAGCCAATGAAACCCCCTTTCTTTATAAATTACCCCGTTTCAGGTATTTCTTTATAGAGGTACCAGAAAAGACTAATACACTTGGCATCATATTTTCCTGGATTTCCTGTCTTTTGAGCCACTCCTGTTTTTGCTCTTAGTGTTGTTGTTTTTGGGAGGGCAGGGATGTCCTGTTTCCCTTACCTAACCTTTACATGTTGAGGTTTTCTGGATGTAGCTCTAGTTCCTCTTGGCATTTTACAATCTCTCCCCAGATGAACTCATTCCCTCTCATGGCTTCAAATTTCATCTACTTGGTAGTCATTCTCAATTACTAGGCCTTTCTTTTGAGCTCTCAACATACCTCCTTATATCTAGCTTCCTATTCAACATTTCAATCTGGATGTCTCTCAGGGGTTCTAATTTCAAGGACCTAAAATTAAACTCATTTTCTGTCCCTCCACCTCCTCCACACAACCCCAGCCATGGGGATGGAAGGATGTTTATACAAATACTGTTCGTCCATTATTCCTAATCCCAGTAAATGCCACTGAGCAGCTCAAGCTGAGACTTGAGTATTGACTAAAGATATTGAATATCTCCCCTTGTCATCACCCCCCAAATCTCTGAGTCTTATAAATTATATTTCTTAAAAATCTCTAAACAAGAATGTCTCTCTTCAGCTACATTATCAACATCACATATCATCCAGATGTCTTCAATAGGCTCCGGTCTTATATAAATAACACCCTCTTCCTAATATCACTAAGTTCCAGTGATACTTGCTTTCCAACATTTCTTAGAACACTAGAAGCTCCCTGCCTTGCTTCAGGGCCTTTGCATATACTGTGCCTTCGTTCAAAGAATAGCTGGTTATATTTCTTCAAATCAAAACTTAAAAGTCACATAGGAAGATATTCCTGGTTATCTTATCCAAAGCAACCCATCTCTACTCTACTAATCACTACTACAACACTCTAATTATATCCTTCCTGTCACTTATCACAGCTATTTAGTTTACATATTTGTTTTAAAAATGTATGGGTAAAATGGTTTCTATCTTGTACATGGCTGAGTGCTTGACACATTGTAAGTGAAAATCTATTTAAGAAACTGATTAATAAATTAAGACTTATAGGCTGGGCACAGTGGCTCATGCCTATAATCCCAGCACTTTAGGAGGCTGAGGTGGCAGGATCACTTCAGCCCAGGACTTTGAGATCAGCCTGGACAATGGAGCAAGACAGCATCTCTTAAAAAAAAAAATTAGCCAGGCGTGGTATCATGTGCCTACAGTCCCAGCTACCGGGAAGCTGAGGTGAGTGATTCGCTTGAGCCCAGCAGATTGAGCTGCCGTGATTGTACCACTGCACTCCAGCACTCCAGCCTGGGTGACATAGCAAGACCCTGCCTTTAAAAAAAAAGGACATCTAGCTTTAACTGTGGGAGAACATTACAGAACATTCCCAGGTATGAAAACATATACTAGGTGTGATAAACAAAACTTTTCTAAAATAAAGAGATAATTTGTAGAAAAAGACTTCTTAACTAATATAAGGAAATCCACTATGCTCCTCTGGGCTGCTTCTTCCTGAACTCTGAAATCCTCATTAAATTATAAAAATTATCTAATCAAAAGCATTACCGGTATTGTAAGGCAACATAGCTTATAATCCAGAAGGACCACTTTATTTGCCCCATTTACATAAAAGTTGTGACCTGTGGTAGTTCTGGAATACATCCTCGAGAGGTGGAGCTTAATTCCCCTCCCCTGGACTTTGGGCTGTATTTAGTGACCCACTTGTAAATGAATACAATGTAGCAGAAATGATGGTGTATAACTATCAAGAGAAAGTAATTTTTAAAAATTGGGGTTTCTGCTTCATTCTCTCTTGGATCACTTGCTCTGCAGGAAGCCAGCTCCCATGTCATGTAACACTCCAGTAACAGATGGAAAAACTGACTCGGTAAGGAACTGAGGCCTACTGCTAAGGAGCACATGAGAGATTCCTTTGACAGCCATCCAGCCACAGGCTGGCTGTAGCTACTACTAACATCCTAGCTGATGTTTGTGCATTCTATCGCAATTGCATTTGTAATAGGATACTTAAAATTTAAAAATAAACACTGATCAAAAGTAGCTCAATTCAATACCAAATTAGGTATGCTAAAAGTAAACTGTACGTTTCCACCACGAATATGTTTCAATCAATAGAAAAATCCCAGTGTTCGCTCTTTCCAGTTCTTAAATTAGTTAACTAAATTGTATTGATGATGAATCAATACCTACTATGAAAGGAAATAATCAGTAATTATGCTACTTCAATGTAGTCCCAGCATACAGGAGAAAGATGCATACACCTACACTCTCCCAATACCCTATACCATGAGAGATATTTTGCCATTTTAACATTTCTCTCAGAGACTTATTAGGTTACTTTCAACTATATAAATACTTGTTATTAAGTCCATACATTCAAATACAAAACTAATATGTGAATTCTGATTTACCAGAGGCTACACATACAGGTTTTAATTAAATATAGTTACAAAATCCTTAATCTATAGATTTAATATTTATATTAAATAAAAAATTGTATGATGTAATAGAGCAAAATCCAATCATTTTTATCAAAACGATGAAAAGTTTCAGATTTATCATGTGTATATTAAATAATGCTATAGCACATACTAAAATGATTGTAATAAACACTTTTTTAAAACAGCATCACATGTACAGATGTAATAAGCACTTTTGGCTTAGATATTTTTAAATATGCTTAGAAAGCTTATCTTTCAATAATTGTGATTGGAATATAATTAATTTTTTATATTTATTTAAACAGTTTTACATAGATGTAATAATTGTACATATTTATGGTGTACGCAGTGATGTGATATACATAAGACATAGTGATCAGATCAGGTAATTAGGACACCCATTATCTAAAACATTTATCATTTACTTGTGTTAGCAACAGTCAAAATCCTCCTCCTAGCTATTTGAAACTGTATTACTGCTAACTCTAGTCATCCTACAGTGTTATATAGAACTTTAGAATTTATTCCTCAGTCCAGCTCTTATTTTGTATACTTTAACAAATCTCTCCCTATCATCTCTCCCTCCCCACTACCCTTTTGATCCTCGAGTATCCACTGTTCTACTTTTTACTCATATGGAGATTAACCTTTTGGTAGCTTCCACATATGAGTGAGAACACGCAGTGTTTAACTTTCTGTGCCTGGCTTATTTCACTTAATATAATGTCCTGCAGTTCCATCCATGCTGCCACCAATGACAAGATTCCATGTTTTTTTATGGCTGAATAGTATTCCATTGTGTATATATGGCACCTTTTCCTTATCCACTTATCTGTTGCTGAACACCACTGATTCCATCTCTTTGCTAGTGTGAACAGTCCTGCAATAAACATGGTGGGTGCAGATGTCTCTTCAATGTACTGATATCCTTTCGTGTGGATAGATGCCCAGTAGTGGGAACTCTGGATCACATGGGAGCACTATTTGTGGTTTCTTGAGGAAGAGATATAATTTAATACATTATATTAAATGTATAATATTTATCAAACTTAAGTGTACAATTTGATGAGATTTGAATATATATATATGTTTCTGTAACCACCACCACAACCAAGATACACTCTAAAAGGTCCCTCATAACCCTCTGCAGCTAATTCCCTTGCCCCAACTCTTGGCCCCTGGTAACCAATAATCTGCTTTCTGTCATTGTGTAGTTTTGCTTTTTCAGTAATTTCATATAAATAAAACCATGGCCTATGGCTATGATGTATGGAGCCCGTAATGTTTAATTTCTTTCATTTAGCATAACACTTTTGAAATTCATCCATGTTGTTGCATGTACCAGTAGTCATTTCCCTTTTATTTCTGAGTGGTATTTCATTTATTCCAGTGAATACAGGTATTGCAATCTGTTTAGCCACTCACAGTTGATGGACATCAGAAATGTTTACAATTTGAGACTGGAATAAAACTGCTATTAATATTTGCTTAAAAGTAAATGTGAATATGTATGTTTTCATTACTCTTGATAAATGCCTAAGAGTGGAATTAGTATGATATACATTAAGTTCCTAACCTATACATCCTCATTAACTTTACACATTCTTTGTTGTTGTTTTTGAAAATCAAGTTTGTTGAAGAATAATTTACATAGAGAAAAATTCATTATTTTTAGGTGTACAATATAATGAGTTTTCTAAACATAGAGGCTTATGTAAGAACAATTATGACATGGAATATTTCCATGATCCCCAAAAGTTCCTTTTATTCTCCCTTGTATGCAATTCTTCCTCTTTTCCCATAGCTCCTAGCAATCATTGCTCTGTTTTCTGTCCCTAACAGCTATGCTTTTTCCAGAATGTCATATAAATGGAATCATACAACATGCAGCCTTTTGTTTTGGCTTTGTACACCTAGTATAATATTTTCAAATTCATCTGTGTTGTTGCATGTATTAGTGCTTCACTCCTTTTTATTACTAAGTACTATATAGATTCCATTGTATGGATTTATCACAGTTTGTCCATTTACCAGTTGATAACCATCTTGGTTATTTCCAATTTTTGTGATGAATATGGCTGCTATAAATATTCATGAAGCAGTCATTGCATGAACATATATTTTCATTCCTCTAGGGTAAGAGACCTAGAGTGAGACTCCTAGGATGTATGGGAAAGTGTATGGTTAATTCTATATGAAAGTGCCAAATTGTTTACAAAGAAGTCGTACCACTTTACTTCCCCATCAACAACATGTGAGGTTCCAGTTGCCTTGTATACTGCTCTTGGTATTGTTAGATTTTTAAAAAGTTATTCGAATAGGTATGTCATGGGATCACACTGTTGTTTTAATCAGCATTTCTCAGATGACTAATGATGTTTGGCATCTTTTCATGTGTTTATTCGGTATCTATATCTATTCTTTGTTGAAGTATCTGTTCAAAACTTACATTTTTTTTTTGTAGCAAGCTTATCTTGTTATATAGTATGTTTCCTACATATCCTGGATGTAAGTGCTTTATCACACATAAGTTGAACAAATACTTTAATCCAGTCTGGCGTATATTTTCATTTTCTTAAGAGTTGGCATTTCAAAGCAAATGTTTTTTATTTTAATGAAATCAATTAAAGATCTAAAGAAATATTTACCTAATTCAAGGTCACAAAGATTTTTCTCCTATGTGTTCTTTCAAGAAGTTCTACTTTTAGCACTTACGTTTGTCTACACTACGTTTTTTTCTGTTACATTTTGAGTTAATTTATATGTAAAATTAAGGGGTGAGGTTCTTTTTCTTTTTGGATATGGATAACCAATTGTTCATCATCATTTGTTAAAAAGATCATTTTCCCCCCTGGGCATACCTTGACATCTTTGTCAAAAATCAAATTGATCATATATGTTTGAGTCTATTTCTGGACTCTGTTACAGTCCATTGGTTTATATGAGTCTATCCTTAAATAACAAGCTATCCTAATGAATGTAATTTTATATTAAGTCTTTTGTTTTTTTTTCTCAAAATTGTTTAAACTATTCTGGATATTTACAATTTCACTTAAATTTTAGAATCAGCTTGTCTATTTCTCTTTTTTCCTTTTTTTAAGTTAAAAAAATAGAGATGGGGTCTCCCTATGTTGCCCAGACTGGTCTTGAACTCCTAGGCTCAAGTGATTCTCCCACATGGACTTTCCAAAGTGCTGAGATTACAGGTGTGAGCCACCATGCCTGGCCATCTTGCCAATTTCTTTAAAAAAGAAAGAAAGAAAGAAAAAGCCTGCTCAGATTTTGGATAGAGCTGCTTTGGACCTCAGATCAATTCTGGAGAAAACTGACATCTTAATAATATTGAGTCTTCCAATCCATGAGCGTAGTATAGTACAATTCTCCATTTTTAAGTTTTAATTCTCCAAAACAGTTTTATAGCTTTCAGTGAGTAGGTCTTATAAATACATTTTCAAATTTATCTATATGTATTTATTTTTTGATAGTATTTAAACACTAGTTTTAATTTCAATTTCTGATTGTTCATTGCTAGCATACAGGGATAAAATTGAGTTTTATATACTGACCCAGTATGCTATGAACAGCTAAACTCATTTATTAGTTCTAACAGTTGTTGTTGTTGCTGTTTTTTTCCTCATAGATTCCCTGGGACTTTCCACATAAACATTCAAGAAGGTATGCTAAAATGACTATTTTATTTCTTCCTTTCCAATCAGGATGTCTGCAGTTCCTATTTCTTGAAAGGCCTTTGTATGCATTTGGTGTTCAGGTAATGCTGGTCTCATATAATGTTTTTGGCAATTTAACCTCCTTTTCTATTTTTTGCAAGAGTTTGTGTAGAAATGGTATTATTTCTTCATTAAACATTTGATAGAATTCATCTGAACTACAAGTTTTCTCTGAGGTAAGGTCTTTTACTACAATTCAATTTCCTTTGTAGAACTATTAAGATTAACCATTTCTTCATTAGTGATATTTGATAGCTTGTGCCTTTCAAGAAATCTATTTCATCTAAGTTGTCTAATTTAGTAGCATAAATTTGTTCATAATATTTCTTTATTTTTCTTTTAATATCTGTAGTGATGTTCCCTCCCTTATTCTTAATATTTTTAATTTGTGTCTTCTCTTTCTGCATCTTTGCTAGATATTTACTATTAATACATTTATTAATCTTGTCAAGAGACAGCTTTTCATTACACTGATTTTTTTCTCTATCATTTATTTTTATTATTTTTTTCTTTCTTCAGCTTACTTTGACTACATGTGCTTCTCTTTTTTCCCACATTCTTCAGATTGAAGCTAAGATCATTGATTTTAGGCAATGATCCTCTCCTCCTCCCCTCCCCCTTACCCTCTCCCTTCTTAAATAAAATCATTTAATGCTATAATTCTACATTAGGCACTTCTTTATCTTCATGTTAAACATTTCTATAGGTTGTGCTGTTATTTTCAATTAGTAGAATATTTCTAATATCTCTTCTAATTTCATCTTTGGCCCATGTTTTATGTAGAAGCGCATTAATTTCCAAATCTCAAGAGATTTTCCAAAAACCTTTCTGTAACTGATTTCTGGTTTGTAATTAACCAGAGATCCAAGATCTCAATCTTTCTAAACATTTTGAGACTTATTTTAGGGCTGAATATGGTCAACGTGATAAATGTTCTACGTGTATTTAAAATGAATGTATTTTGTGCAATTGACTAAAATGTTTTATACATGTGACACAGATCAAGGTGGTTAATAATGTTCCAGTCTTCAGTATGCTTACTGATTTTTTGTCTACCTGTTCTCTAAATTACTGACATAACAGGGAGAGGCTGTCTATATTTCATTCCACTTCTATCCACTTTTGTCTTATGAATTTTGAAGCTCTATTTTTAGATGTATGTAAATTTAAGATCATCACCTTGATGAACTGGCTCTTTTATCATTATGATATGTCACTTTTTCCTCTGATAATATAATGCTTTGTGTGGTAATTTGATAATTGTTATGGGTTGACTTATGACTCCTTAAAAGCTATATATTGAAGAGCTACCTCCCAGTACCTCAGAATGTAACAATTTGCAGAGAGAATATTTTCAAGTTAAAATGAAGTCATCAGGGTGGGCCCAAGTCCAATATGGCTGGTGTCTTTGTAAAAGAGGGAAACCTGGACACAGAGACATACACAGGGGGAAAACAATGTGAAGAGACAGAGGGAGAAGAGAGGCATCTAAAAACCAAGGAGACCGGCCTGGAACAGATCCTTCCCTCATAGCCCTCAGAAGGAACCAACACTGATGAAAACTTGATTTTGAACTTCTTGCCTCCAAAACTGTGAGACAACACATTTCTGTTGTTTAAGCCACCCAATTTGTGGTACTTTGTTATGACAGCCCTAGAAAACTAATATAGTAATGATATGACTAGCTGGCTGTTTTTATTAAGGTAGTGTTTGCATGGTATACCTTTTTCTGTCCATTTACCTTTAACGTATAAATGTATTTATATTTAAATGGGGCTTCTTGGTTGCCAGAGGCAGAGGAGTGGGGGAAATGGGGAGATGTGGCCAAAGTGTACAAACTTTTCATTGTAAGACAAGTAAGTTCTGGGAATCTAATGTTTAATATGAAGATTATAGTTCATAATATTAAATTGCATATTTAAATTGCTAAGAGAGTAGATCTTAAGTATTCTCACCACAGACACACACACAAAGGTAACTGTGAGGGATGGATATGTTAATTAACTTGAATGCAGTAATCATTTAACAATGTATATATGTATCAAATCATCATGAGGTAGACCTTAAATATGTGTAATTTATATTTGTGAATTACAACTCAATAAAGCTGGAAAAAAATACCTACTGCAAAAGAAAAAAAAGGGTGGGTTTCCTCTAGGTAGCACATAAATGAGTATTGCTTTTTTATGCAATTTGGTTTTTTCTTCCTTTAAATTATATAGTTTAGGCAAATAGTACTTCAAGGTAGCATATTTTTTATTATATTATTTTATAAATAAGACATTGGTCATAAAACTTGAAAGAAAAAATACATAAATAATTTTACCACAGCATTTTTTATAATAATGAAAACATGGAAATAAAGCAAATCTTCAGCAATGAGGGAATTACTCAATTTTGATATATTCATATTTCAGACTATTAGCAACCAATAAAAATTATCATTTTTTTGTCTTGTATACATCACGAAATAGCTAATTTGAGCAAATTAATATATCCATTACCTCATATATTCATCATTTTTTGTAATCTAGTCTCCACAATTTTTAAGAAAACAATATGCTGTTACTAACTATAGTCACTATGCTGTAAGATAGATCTCTTCAACTATTCCTCCTAACTAAAATTTTGTATCCTTTGACCAACATCTCCCCAGTCACCCCACCCCTAACCTCTACCCTTGGTAACCACGATTCTACTCTCTACTTCTATGAGTCTAACTTTTTTAGATTTCACATATTTAGATCATACAGTATTTGCCTTTCTGCGTCTTTCTTATTTCACTTAACAGAATGTCCTCCAGTTCATCCATGTTATTGTAGATAACAAGATTTCCTTCTTTTTAAAGACTGAGTAGCATTCCATTGCATATATATACAACCAAAATTTCTTTATTCATCAGCTGATGTACACTTACGTTGATTTCTGTATCTTGGCTATTGGGAGTAATGCTGCAATGCAAACAGGAGTGCAGATATCTCTTTGACATACTGTTTTCATTTCAGTTAGATATATACCCAGTAGTGGGATTGCAGGATCATGTGGTATTTCTGGTTATACGTGTGTGTACCATTATGATATATATCGTGTGTGTGTATATTTATACACACATATACCATTATGATATATATTATATATATATGTATCTTTGAAAAGAATAGTAATTATATCGATATATATACTATAAATATCTTTCCTAAAAGGTTAGTATTTAAACTTTCCATAAAAGAGATAAAAAGTAAATCTTACAATATACACTTTTCTTGGGGTAAGGTTAGGCAATCTTTTATTTAATGATTATTTGCTAAGTATATACTCTGCTAGACACCATACCCTATGCTAGGGAAAACAGTATATTATAATGCAGTTTAGTCAAAAGAAAACTTAATAACTTAAAACAGTACATTATAATGCAGTTTAGTCAAAAGAAAATACTAATAATCATTATTTACTATGAAACATAAAACAGAAAGTTATAAATTTCAAAATAAGTGAGAACATTAATACAGATTAATGTTAATAAGAATATTAATACTGGTTAATTATTATAACTATTAAGACACTTTACTTTCCCTAAGTTTCTCATATAAAACAGTACCTGGTTTGAGGCAATCCAAAACTTGTTCCAACGCCAACACGAGGTAGATAGTTAACCACTTTCTTTACTGTTGCAGGGTCTGGGAAGTTGAACATCACAGCAACTACAACAGATGATTTTTAAAAATTAGAACACAGTATAACTTCCTTTCTGGAAAACTGACTCCTTGGTCCAATAAAATATTTACTTTTAATTCAGGTATCTATTAAATACAATTCTTACTATATTCCTTTTATATAGTATATATCAAGTTTTAGTATTAATATGCCAGTGATAATATTCATTTCACTTATAAATTCTTTTACCATAGACAGTGCTTTCCTAAATACTATTAGGTGTTATAACAGTTGATGTTGCATTGATATGACATGAAGTTGAGATTATGAGACATGATAATAATAATGATAATGATAGCTGAGATAATGTGACATGAAGCTGCAACTTTAAATTTACAAAAATGAATTTTGGCAAGTCAAAGGTATTTCTAGGAGTTTCCAGAAACAAATATTAAAAATTTAAGTTTATGTAGTTAAACAACTAACACTAAAAAACAACCAATATAGCTATGAAATAATCAGTTACATTTATTTCCAATCATTAAGTTTTAAAACAGTCTTTTTACAATGTCTATATGTTTATCTTTCATATGTTCAAATGAGCAAATGTTCATATAATCCAAAACAATGTGTGATCTGAAGGAACATTTTTCCTCTGCAGTTAAAAATCAAATTTAAATGCTTTCTCATCCTATTTCAATAATTTCACATACATGAGAATACCAAGAAGTACATGTCAATATGTAAACATATTTAGCAATAAATGTTAATTTATGAGAGTAATCTATAAATTTTTACCCATTTAAAGAACATGAAAGTAAAATCATACAATCTTGAGAGAGTTTAGAAGATATTCATTTGGTCAGTCATGGAATTTTAACTTCAATGTCAGAATCATATGTAAGCTACAAGCGATCATCTAGAAGATGGTCCTTCTTCTCTACCAACCCTTAAAAAAATATTTAAAGCCAAAAAAAAAATATACCAATGTTCCTATAGTTTTTAAAACACTGGCATTGCCAACATGTTTCAGGTATTCAGGTAAATAAGTAATCGATCATTCACTAAGCACCTATAACATATTTAGTAATGTCATAATATATACACACACATAAGAATATATACACACACATAAGAATATATACACACACGAGAATATATATAACATATAATATATTATATATAAGAATATATAACATATAATATATATAAGAATATATAATATATTATATATAAGAATATATATTATATATAATATATTATATATAAGAATATATAATATATTATATATAATATTATATAAGAATATACAATATATTATATATCATATATAATATATAAGAATATATAATATATAATATATCAGAATATATAATATATTATATATAAGTATATAATATATTATATATAAGTATATATTATATATACGAATATATAATATATTATATATACGAATATATAATATATTATATATAAGAATATATAATATATTATATATAAGAATATATAATATATTATATATAAGAATATATAAAATATATTACATATAAGAATATAAAATATATTACATATAAGAATATAAAATATATTACATATAAGAATATAAAATATATTATATATAAGAATATAAAATATATTACATATAAGAATATATAATATATTATATATAAGAATATAAAATATATTATATATAAGAATATATAATATATTATATATAAGAATATATAATATATAAGAATACATAATATATATTATATATAAGAATACATAATATATATTATATATAAGAATATATAATATATTATATAAGAATATATAATATATAATATATAAGAATATATAATATATAAGAATATATAATATATAATATTATATATAAGAATATATATTATATATAAGAATATATTATATATTATATATTATATATAAGAATATATAATATATAATAATTATACATAGGAATATATTATACATATATATTCTTATCTGTGTGTGTGTATGTATCCTTTAGATAAGCCTCCTTTACATATCCACTATTATACTGAATTCAGGGGGAAAAAATAAACAGAAGAAAAAAATCATCATAGGTTATGGCAGATGGTCAAGGCCACGAGGCAAAGGCAACAGAAAAACACACATATAAAAACAAGCATGCATAAGAAATTTCAAAGAAAGAAAATGAATGAGGATGAGCAAGTAATAAATATTCTAAGATTGAAGCTCCTTTGGGACAGCAAGGATGCGGACTGAAATAAAGTGTGAAACATTCTCTTGATTATTTGCCTAGAAGAATAATGTTTAGATTAGAAGAAGAGGTATGTGCCAGGAGGAGATCAAACAGGAAGGGAAAAATCTTTTCCTAAAGAAATTTGTATTCCCTAAAGACAGATAATTTCATAAAGGAAAAACAAGATGTGTGTGTGGAATATAGGCAGTTATGTGTACCTTTAAAAATAAGAAACCATCAACCCATGTATATATAATACAAGGAATATGTACAATAAATCAGTAGGTTTTACATATATTCCATTGTACACCTCCACCCATACCAAATGATGCTTTTCCTTCAAGTTCAACTTGTCTCCCCTTCTTTTCTTAATGGATTTCACCAAGTTCCATCGTAAAACTGCAAATTAAATTTTAGTTCAACTTTCAAGAATGATGAAATACAGAGCAAACAGGACAGTTCAGTATCATTTTCTCATGGTTCCTTTATAAAAGCAATATATCACATATATCACACAAAAGATTAAATAGACATATGAATCGTTATTGTCCTCTCCTCTCCCCAAATGCAGCCACCTTCCAGAAGGAATTAAGTATCAAAGCAATGCTCAGGACATCAAAACTCCTCTTCAAGCTGATTAAATGGTTATGTATTCCTTATGTTTATAAAGCCTTATATCAATTTGTGATATGGCAAAAAAAAGAAAAGAATTACAAATGATTCTATTAATAATCAAGGTGGGAAAAAACCATGAAGAAGCATTTGGTACAAAAAAAGAGGTCACTAGAACAGAAGGTGGGCTACAAATAACTATCTAAATTGAAGCAATATGGTATGTTCAAAAATGAAATCTTAAAGAGATGGAAGTTAGCTCTGTAACAACGTATTTCTGTAACACATTACCTCTGTTTGCCATAAAGATCTCCAGGGCTGTATTTTGCAAAAGATAACGACGAGAAAAGATTGATCGTATCTCTGTGAACAGCCATTTTCCATGCAGCCCTTCTGTATATGCCAAGATCTAATGAGGAAAAAAATAATCCCAGGTAAGTAACAATACTTGTTTTTTGTTGTTGTTTCTTTCCCCAATTAAAATAGAAAAGACCCTATTAAGAAAAATAATTTTTAAGAAAAAGGATTTAATAGTTACAGACATAATTTGGAGATGAAGAAAATAAATTGTAATTTATAGAAAAGAAGCTTAAATTAAAAAGCAAAGTAAAATTATAAAACATTTAAGTATATATTCGGGCTTTTAAAAACAATGATATAATCTACTGCTTCTGAAGAAATACATATTGCATCATTTACTGATTGATTTTTAAACCACATTATGAAAAGTAAAACTTCAGATAAAATCTTAAAAACAAAAAGCCCTCAAAAGAATGTCATATATGCTTATAAATCACATACACAATTCAGTTTCACATGATTATAATTTGCCCAATAATGCTTTTACATACATTATAATACAAATATATTAAGTTCATAACTTTAAAAAATGACACTTTTAAGGTCACTGTTAAGGCAACAGTCACTCATTCAGAAAGCACAAACACTGACTATATAAGAGGTTAAGTATCATTTTGTCAGCTAAAGCTAAACACAAACCTGCAAATGAACTTAGCATAATCTCCCTATGGGGTAGGTGGTTGTCAGAGTAACTTGTTACAATTCTTGTCATCCCAGGTGACAGACAGAGTTGCTTAAAATGCTTTGCCAATTCAAAGTAATCCTGTCTTTAGTCCTAACCCACTTTGTTGCTTTGATTCAAGTTTTGTTTTTCAAAACGTTCATTTCAAAAGCTTAATTGTGAAAGCGTTAAGGGAAAACCAGACTCAGCATTTCTCTACACCAGTACTATACATAATACATAAGAAAATGAGATGCACTTGCTATCAAAACCTGATATTCTATGACAGCAAATTAAGTTTAAAAAATTAAGAAATATATCTCAAAAGTAACCACTATTAAAAATTACAAATGAAACATTTGATTATGATACTACATTGTAGGAATAAAGATGGGATGAGCAAAGAGGTAAAATAACGAGTAGTAAAAATTTATCCTTCTCAAACTGTTTTGTCTTTACTCATTTTTATTTTCAAAATCCTAATGGCAAATAAATCTACATTCTCCAGTGCAGAATGTAGTTTTTTTGAAAAAAAAAAAAAAGAGTAACAAACCTTATTTAAGTCAGTAAGTATGTATTTCAGTCTTTCTACAAAAATGATTCTATTTCTGACACCACAGAATCTAGAAATAGAATGGGTATAACTCTAAGGGAGAGTGTTTCTTGAAAATACAAAACAAAAAGTTCAAAAGACAAGATAATCATGCGTGCAGTTTTGAAATGGATGAGAGAGAAATCCTACTAATTCAGTAATATAATCAACGCCTATGTAAAATAAAGGTAAATGAACAGGAAACGAGAGGACAAAAATATGAACATTACTCTCAGAGATTGCATGTATCCCTTTCTCTCACTTTGACCAGAGATACCACCAGTTGGTCTATGGCCCCAAGGTCTTCAGAGGCATCTATTTGTTCTCTCTTTTATTCTTACCTCTGAAGTCTACCATGACCAGAGGACCCTTCACCTCAAAATTTTAAAATACAAATCAGATCACATCATTCCTATATTTAATAGTATCCAGTGACTTCCCATGACATGTATAATAAACTCTTAAGCTCTTTATGACTGCATAAAGCCTCATATCTGGGACTGTCAGATGAGTTCAACTCATTCTTCCTCAGGGCTTTGTTTTGCCCTTGTTTTCCACTCTGCCTGGAATGTTCTCCCACATCTCCACATGGTTCACTCATTCTCACATTTAGACTTCTCCTCTTATGTCACCTCTGCAGGGAAGCCACAGGATCTAAACCCCAGTTACTCCATTAACAACTCATCCCACCCCAAACTTACCAGATTTTCTTCATAATACTTATCACTACCTGAAATTTTAAATATTAATTTAATTTTCAAGACAGGGTCTTACTCTGTCACCCAGGCTGGAGTGAAGTGGTGTGATCACAGCTCACTGCAGCCTCAACCCCCTAGGCTCACATGATCCTCCCATCTCGGCCTCTTGAGTAGCTGGGACTACAAGCACGTGCCACCACATCTAGCTAACTTTTAACAATTTTTTTGTAGAGATGAGGTCTCACTATGTTCCCCAGGGTGGTCTTGAACTCCTGGGCTCAAGTGATCCTCCTGCCTCAGCCTCCCAAAGTGCTGGGATTATAGGCATGGGCCACTACACCTGGCCACTAACTCAAACTATAATATTTGCTTGCTAGCCTATTGCCTCTTCAGCACTAGAATACTAGAATCTAAGTTCTGTTGGAGCAAAGGCTTTGAATATACCCTACTTCCAATGCCTAGAAAAATACCTGGCACAAAGTAGCAATTTTCAGAATGACTAAATGAATCAATGTATGGCAACCTTCAGTCCATATTTGATCCGCATGATATTTTAACAAAATTTCACATGGTTGAAAATAGTTGAGAAAACAGATATTCGCAAAAATATTCGGATTTCTGTCTTCTCAAGAAAAACTAGGGTATCCAGCAAACCTGGATCTGTATGCCACATGGTAACAATTGGCATGCACTCTCCATTTTGGTACCATTTTCACTTCATTTATTATTATTCACTAATGTGATGTGAGCATTCACTCATTTACTATTATCCACCTAGTTTCCATTGGTACTTGAGTTTGCTACCCTGGATTTACCAAATATTAGAGAATCCAATATATGTTCTGCAACATTTATAGTCCAATGTATCCATAAGAAAAACAAGAGCCAGGGCCAGTAGCTTACACTGGTAATTGCTGAGCTTTGGGAGGCCAAGATGGGAGGACTGCTTGATGCCAGGCAACATAGCAAGACCTCATCTCTACAAAAAATTAAATAATTAGTTGGGCGTGGTAGCATGCACCTATAGCCCTAGCTACTCATGAAGCTGAGATGGGAACATCACTCAAGCCCAGGAATTTGATGGCACAGTAAGCTATGATTGCGCCACTGCACTCCAGCCTGGGCAACAATACAACATCCTGTCTCTAAAAAAAGAAAAAAAAGAAAAATGAGGCCTAGACATGTTAAATATTTGATACAAAATTCCTTGGCAAGTTAGTGGCAGAAAATGGCCTATACCCAGGTTTTCTAACCCAAAAATACAGAGCTTCCATTGTATATACCACATTGCCACATTTTTAAGAAAGGGTTAAATATCTGTTAAACTAGAACCCAACTAACTGCTTAAAATTTTCCTGCACTTGGGTTAAAGAGGAAAGAGGAAAATCAAAAGAAAACAAACAAAAAATATTTTAAGCTCTTTGATATGTTAGGAATATCACACACTGGTCTGAAAATTCTACCTTTTGTATCTATAGAGCTATATAATAAGACCTGTTGCCCATAATAGTGAATCCACTCATTGCAAAGTCATGATCATACAACTAAAGATTTAATCATATTCTAGACTACTCCATTTATTAGGAGAAATGAGTATACTACAGCATTGTTACAAGATTTTTCATGTACTGAAATAGTTTTCTGATTAAATAAAATATACCATTTATATTCCATTCCCTTAAACAGTATGGTTATTCAAAGATCTACTTGAAACACTGCAAGTGTCATAGTCCTTTAAAATCTGTTTTATTCCAATGTCAAAAATATTCAGTAGTAGGCGGGGCACGGTGGCTCACGCCTGTAATCCCAACATTTTGGGAGGCCAAGGCAGGCGGATCACGAGGTCAGGAGATGGGGACCATCCTAGCTAACAAGGTAAAACCCCGTCTCAATAAAAAAATAAATAAATAAAATTAGCCAGGCGTGGTTGCGGGCGCCTGTAGTCCCAGCTACTTGGGAGTCTGACGCAGGTGAATGGCATGAACCTGGGAGGCGGAGCTTGCAGTGAGCCTAGATCATGCCACTGCACTCCAGCCTGGGTGACACAGCGAGACTCTGTCTCAAAAAAAAAAAAAGGAAATGAGGTAAGCTCCATGTACCTACTACTCAGTAACCTTATAAAATCATAACACTTTGCCATATTATTCTATACATCTATAAGAAAGTGATAAATGCATTACAGACAGTGTTAAAATTCACACGCATAACGCTTCCTGATCCCATTTTCCTCCTCTGTCACAGCCAATCACTATCACTATCCTTGTTTTTAGGATTATCATCTATATGTAAGTTTTTATATTATTAGTACACATATATCCATAAATAACATACCACATCACTTTGTATGTTTTCAAACCTGATATAAATGGTATCATACTGAATGTATAATGATATGCTTTTCAAGTTAAACATGACAAAGTCTAATGAAGTTTTAAAACTTAGAGAAGAAAAAACAGCATGAGAGAAAATTATTTAAAATTGTCAAAGGTGTCAAAAATTAAAATCTTACCAAAAAACTAGCCTAATCTTTTAAAAAATTAAATAAAATTCCACAATTAGGGTCAAAAAATTTGAGATTTAAAACAGAAACTAGCAATCTCTTAACTAAGGAATTACTAGCTGAAATTTATATAATAATATTTCTTTAAGTGTTCATTAGGAAAAGGTGTCAGTACTGAAAAGCAGCTGAGGCCTAGCTAAGCAAGGGGTTCATTTCTTATTGGAATAGTATAGGCCTGGTCTGAGGCTTCACTTCAAAGTCTCTAGAGTTCAATTAAAACTGGATTAGGTAGAAACAGACCCTTCTTTGGGACTTTCTGTTCACTGAAACTCTACATACACTGACAGCACCTTAGACAGAGGTCTAGCCCTCCAATGAATCAGTTGCCATAGAAACCATATCATTACCATTGCTCTGCAGTTATGACCTCAACTCCTGAATTGCTTGAAATCTTTACTCTCTTTGAATGTTTACCACCTTGTTTTATTATTGTTAGTATTATTATTAGTAAATTAAGCTTTCAATTGTTTTAAATAATTTGTTTCAAAGCTGGTTTATTAAATGTTGAGACAGTGTGTTAGAGAGGAGAGAAAGGATTTAGTATTGAATACATAGATTATATACACACATAAATATTCTATTTATTTACTGTAAAACATCAAACCTATCTTTTTTAAAAGTTTTATTTAAAAACTGTGCCTTATGAAAAGGATATATTATTTTTCCCAAATAATGCATGTATTTCTTCCTTCTGTCCTACAAATAGTATACTATTAACACATAAGAAAATTGCTTCACTTTGTTGCACTTATTCTTAGTAAAAGTAAGGCATTTTTTACTTTCCCTTTACCAGTCCATTTGTAAAAGCTTATAAGTTTATCCAAATAAAACTCTTTTTTGTTTTCTTGTCCTCATGAAAGAACAAAAATAGAAACCAACACTCACTGCCCAACTATATACTCTTATTTATTGAATACTAGGGATTTTTAAAAAGTAGATTTAAAATAGTTAAAGCCAATCCTTTAAGTGAATAGAAAGGGAGGTTTTATTTTTTTAAAAAAAACTATCCTTGATACATTTTAAATGTTTTAAAATTCCTCCTGAAGGGTAAATATTAAAAAGTGATAAAATGTTTTACCTCAAAAAAAAGAAATACTTACATGAGAGCCTGCACATGTAACATCAATAAAAGGTATTTTAAAAATTACTATTCCTAAGGTTTAAAACTAGCATAGCATATCCCTATGCCAAATATTTCCCAAATTCTATAGTAATTTTATTTTTTCAGACAATTCCAGATTTCTGAAGATTTTGGTGTTAAGAATAAAATCAGGTAATATATATCAATAACAATATTTAAAAATTCACAACAGAACCATCTCCAAACCCTATCAATACATTTAACATCAGGAAAAATGTTGTTAGCCAAATATACAAAATGTAAACTAATCATACCATTCATTAAGCAATAACACAATGGCTAAGAAAGTCTAGAAAATATTCACTATATCCCATTTTAATGGAACATAATTACATAGTCACAGGTTAACACTTTAATATGGAAAAACTAATTATTTGAACCACCTTTAAAATAAAGACATTGAAAAATACTTTCATATCAATTCACCAATAAATATATGTGCAAATGTTTTATGTTACAATAATTGTAATTTGAACAAATAGCTTAAAGAATTTTAATCAAGTATTTTAAAGTTGCATCACTGTTATTAACATAGTTTTTACATTTTGCTATAGTTTTCTCTGAAGGTAGATATCAAAGCATAGCACGTAATTTACTCAAATAATATTGAATCCTAGTTGGTTCAAGGATTTACTTCATCACCAACCATATGACTTTTGGTTTTAAAATTCAAGGATATATTCTTTAAGTAAAATTTAGAGGTCTTTTTTGAATTTGACAATGACAATGACACACAGTCGACTCTGGTGGAAAATTTAAGTTGATAATTTTCTTACTAAATGTATATCCATGAACACTTAGAATGTCCCCAAACTTCAACAAACAACAAAAATGAAAGTCATACATAAAAAATAAAATTACCTCTTAAATTAATCATGTGTTGTTATTTAATTTTTTTCATCTATACAGTATATTTCCCTTCTGGTTTCAAGTACTATGATGTAGTATAGTATTCATAGCATTTCATGGGTGACAAATTCAATTAAACATATTCATTACTCTAATGTTCTACTTGGCAGTTTTAGTCAGTATGAAAAATTAAAAATATATAAATAAAATGCTATGTGACCTTTGTATTGATTGGACTAAAATGGCTTTAGCCTGGGTGTGGACGATGGGGCAGTTGGGAGGGGCAAGAGGGGAGCCTACAAACACACACACTCTTATGTTTTCTCTTCCAATTACTGAGGGAGATGATAAAACCACAGCAAATGATGTATCAGCTCATTTTATCTTATCGCTTTGGGGCTAGGTGACAATGAAGTTCATATTTCACGGGCTCCCATTGAAGACTGTGAAAATTACTTGCCCTTATGACCTGAAATTTCACTAGAAGACAGAAATTTCTCTTCTGCAAAGTAATGCAATTTTTCAGATGTCAACCTTTAGCCCAGCTTTAAAAATTAATTTCATTTATATTAACCAATGATATTGATATTTTCACAGAACACTCTTTGATACATGAAGCACTGACTGGCAAATTGATGTTGCTTTAGATGGGTAAAACTATTTTATTTTAAGCTGCTGTGGCACACAGATTTATGGCAAACTGAAATTCCCATTTCATAATTTAATATTTGTGCTGGAGTTGATGCACCTTTAAGCCCTTGGCCTGTAAATAATTCAGACTCTTTACTTGGTTGTTTTATTTTCAATATTCCTCAGCTTAAAAATAATTTGCATTCTAAATGATGCATCTTAAAAGCCATCTCTTATTCAACTAGCATTAAATATCAATCTTAATGAGTCAAAAGCCAAACGTAGTAATGAAGGAGAAGAACAAAGAAGGTATTTATTTATCTTCCAGCTCATTTTTAATTCAGTTTTTAAAATTTAAACTATACCATAAGTCTAAATTTTTTTTTGAAAGAAGGCAAGAAACCAAAATGAACCCGCAAAAGGATATTAAGGAACCATAGCAAGGAACATGAATATATTTTATATCTTTTTCATAGCAGCACATAAGGTGAAGAGCTGGGTGATAAATTTGTAGAGAAGGAACAAAATGAACTTAGATATTTATCTAAATTAAAATAGATATTTAGCTTTGAAGGTACCTTTTAAAATACAAACAAAAACAAAGCCACAATGTCAATATCATTGTGAACGAGGCATAAAAGGGTCTCATCTGATTTTAGTAAAGGAGATACTGAAATTACCTTGTATCTGTACAAAAGAAACATTTCAATATACAATTTCAATATTTTAGAGTAATAAAAATGCTACTAAAAGATGTATGATCTGGTGTCTTTACAAGTTACAACTTTATTATCTTTATCCAGTAAAGAGTTTTGTCTAATTCAAATAATGCCTTGAGAAGATAATCATTAAACAAATACCCTTCTATTTTATAAGGAAAGTCAAGCATAAATATGCATATAACTTATACATTCATTTATGATCTTAAAATTAGAAAAAGGCTAAGAAAGCCATTTATCTAATTTAGGTAGTTTCTCCCCAAATGGTTTAACACTGCTTTGGCTAAATTTCTATACTCAAAATAATTTTTGCACCTTTATGCCAACAATATTCAAATTGTTTTTTCTTCAAAATATTTATATTTAGTTCTTCCTTACATGTACGGTATAGAAAAAAATCATAATATAAATTTTCCCTTTATAATTTTTTCATTTAGATTGAAAATATTCCCAATTACTTCTCAAAAAGTTGTGACAATAACATGCTATTGTTGCTGAATTAAGCTATAAAGTATTTCTGTCAGGGCCAGGCAAAGTGGATTATGCCTGTAATCCTAGCAATTTGGGAGGCTGAGGCAGGAGGATCACTTGAGGCCAGGAATTCCAGACCAGACTGGGAAATACAGCAAGATCCCATCTCTACAAAAAATAAAATTAGATGACTGAGGTGGCATGTGCCTGTAGTTCCGGCTACTCCAGAGGCTGAGGTGGGAGGACTGCTCGAGCCCAGAAATTGTTTGAGGCTGCAGTGAGCTATGACTGCACCACTGTACTTCAGGTTGGGCAACAGAGACTTTTTTTTTTTTTTAAGTATTTTTGTCTAATGTTCCCCATATTGATTCTCTATAGTCATAAGCTTTCTATTCCTTACTAGAGAGTTAAAATTTAAGTCACCACTAATAAAAAACTAACTTTAAATATATTGGAATATTTCACAATAAGTACTTTAAAACAACCAATGGGCAGAAACTCTCTTTCTTCTCAATGCCAATTCTTCCTTCATGAACTCCATCTTTGATGGGTATCAAAAGCCCTCCCTAAAAAAGTGTTTTACTTCTCATAGAAGTAAAAAGTAAAACAGAGGATACTAGAGGTTGGAAAGTGAGGTGGGAAGCAAGGAAAGTGAGGTGGGAAGCAAGGAACATGGAAAGATTTGTTAAAAGATACAAAATTACAGTTAGACAGTAATAAGTTCTAGTGTTCTATACCACTGTAGAATGACTCCAGTGAACAATAACATATAGTTTCAAACAGCTAGAAGTAGGATAGTGAATGTTCCCAACATGAAGAAAGGATGTTTGACATGATTAATATGCTAATTACCCTGATCTGATTACTATACATTATGTGTATACAACATCTTTATGTACCCCATGAATACGTACAACTGTTGCTTAAAATTTTTTAAAAATAAAATGACCAAAGGTAAAGTTAAAAAAAAAAAAATCCCCCCTTGGGCTGGGCGCCGGGGCTTATGTCTGTAATCCCAGCACTTTGGGAGGCTGAGGCGGGCAAATATTCCTGAGGTCAGTAGTTCAAGACCAGCCTGGCCAACATGGTGAAACCCTGTCTCTACTAAAAATACAAAAAATTAGCTGAGTCTGGTGGCGGGCGCCTGTAATCCCAGCTTACTCAGGAGGCTGAGACAGGAGAATTCCTTGAACCTGGGAGGCGGAGGTTGCAGTGAGCTGAGATCGGACTACTGCACTCCAGCCTGGGCAGCAAGAGCGAGACTCTGTCTCTAAATAAATAAATAAATAAATAATCCCCCCTCTCCCAGATGTATGAACTAAATCTTCAAGTTAGAGTAATATCAGTTTACTGATAGACTATTCTGTGTAGCAGATACAATATGATTTAGCCACTGGAAGTTTCTCTGTTACCTAAGCTACTTAAACAAATTAAAGGGAAAACCTTTGTTTATCTTGAAGAAATTTGCTTTTGTTCTTTGAACACAGCAAGCAAGAGAAATGAAAAGCAAAATGGAAAGGAAAAATTAGGAACATAGAACTTGATGCTAAGAGCCTAAAATCCCCAGGATACATTTTTCCTAATCAGAGGGAAATACTTTTCTACTTTTTTAAAATTAGTACCTGCCTCCTACTAAATATTAAGCTTGTTTAGTTGGAGTCAGTTATAAATGAATAGTACAGATTTGTATTCACTTCCATAATAGAGCATGGAACTAAATGCTATGCTCACATTTGCCTTCAGACGTAATCTTCCAAAAAGCCATTTTCTTAAAGGACCTATATGTAATAGAACATTATGAATAAAACTTAAATAAGACTTTTGGGGTTAACCTCATTTCATTGCGTAACTCCATATTGTTGCACAATCCTCACTAGATTGGAGTTCATACTTTAACTGGAGTTCTTATGACACTACATCACTAGTCTTAGTCATCTTTCTATTCACAGTATCTAGCACAATACTGAAGAGACTGACTGATGGATGGAGGGCCAACTCAGCTTCACTAAGTGTCTACAATCAGGCCAGATGTGGTGGCTCACGTCTGTAATACCAGCACTTTGGTAGGCCAAGGTGGGAGAATCACTTGAGCTCAGGAGTTCAAGATCAGCTGGGCAACACAGCAAAACCCCGTCTCTGCTAAAAAATGCAAAAATTAGCTGGAGGTGGTGGTGTGTGCCTGTGGTCCCAGATACTAGGGCGGCTGAGGCAGGAGAATCACTTGGGCCTGGGATGCAGAAGGTGTAGTGAGCCAAGGTCGTGCCACTGTACTGGGCAATAGAGCAAGACCCCATCTCAAAAAAAAAAGGTATCTACAATCTAAGATTCTGGGAACACATGAACATAAACACAGCAAAAAACAAAAGGGGGAAGAAGAGTAAAATGGAAAACTACAACATAAAAATTTTTAAAAATCAAATTCAAGGGTCAGAATACTTCCACTTTTGATGAAGATGGAGTAACAGGGCCTGGATTTATCCTACCTAAACAATATGCAAAATGAACATAATATACTGAAAAGTTGTTTTCAAAATATTAAATATTAAGCAATAAAAAACAGTGATTCCTGAAAAACAGGAAACAAAATTGTGACACCTATTAATGCCCAAGCACACCATCTGGAAAGACTTTGCAGGGCCCAGAGGAAAATAGAGAAACGTAGTTAGAACGTAATGGTCTCCTGCAGTAGAGAAAACAGAGCTTGAAGTACAGGGAGATCAAGGCATCAAAAGCTTGCAGGGCAGAGTAGCAGATCAGAGAGAGCTGCAAAGCAACAGAGCTCCAGAGATCTGCAGCCTTCAGCTGAGTACTGACCAAGCTATGAAAGAAAACAATGTGAGACCAGTGAAAGAATCATCCTAAGAAATTACAATGAACAGTACTCAGAGCTCACACAGAATGTAAAAATCTCATGATTCATGGAGCACTGTAGAGACTACTCAAAAGGGTTTTGCCACAGAAGTGGGGGAAAGTTAGCTCTAGACTTAATGCTGCTCTAGTTCTCCCTAAAAATCTTAAAACCAAGCTCCAGATGGATCAAACTATTTCTAAGTAACTTAACTGTATCCCAGAACAATGTATTATAAGGAATGCAAAAATATCCACCACACAACTAGGCAAAAATCACTACAACTGGCATTCAATTCATAATTACTGGGCCTGTAAAAGAAGCAAAACAACATGACCCACATGAGGAGAGAACTTAATTAAACAAAACTCTCCTAGAAATGACCATCAACAGAATTTTTAGAAAAAGACATCAAGGGGAGCCAAGATGGCCAAATAGGAACAGCTCCAGTCTACAGCTCCCAGTGTGAGCAACACAGAAGACGGGTGATTTCTGCATTTCCAACTGAGGTACCGGGTTCATCTCACTGGGGTGTGCCAGACAGTGGGTGCAGGACAGTGGGTGCAGCGCACCGTGCGTGAGGCGAAGCAGGGCAAGGCATTGCCTTACCCGAGAAGCGCAAGGGGTCAGGGAATTCCCTTTCCTAGTCAAAGAAAGGGGTGACAGACGGCACCTGGAAAATTGGGTCACTCCCACCCTAATACTGCGCTTTCCCAACGGGCTTAAAAAATGGCACACAAGGAGATTATATCCCGCACCTGACTCAGAGGGTCCTACACCCACGGAGTCTCGCTCATTGCTAGCACAGCAGTCTGAGATCAAACTGCAAGGTGGCAGCGAGGCTGGGGGAGGGGTGCCCAACATTGCCCAGGCTTGATTAGGTAAACAAAGCAGCCAGGAAGCTCGAACTGGGTGGAGGCCACCATAGCTCAAGGAGGCCTGCCTGCCTCTGGAGGCTCCACCTCTGGGGGCATGGCACAGACAAACAAAATGACAGCAGTAACCTCTGCAGACTTAAATGTCCCTGTCTGACAGCTTTGAAGAGAGTAGTGGTTCTCCCAGCATGCAGATTGAGATCTGAGAACAGGCAGACCGCCTCCTCAAGTGGGTCCCTGACCCCCGAGTAGCCTAACTGGGAGGCACCCCCCAGTAGGGGCGGACTGACACCTCACACGGCCGGGTACTCCCCTGAGACAAAACTTCCAGAGGAACGATCAGGCAGCAGCATTGGCAGTTCACCAATATCCGCTGTTCTGCAGCCACCGCTGCTGACACCCACGCAAACAGGGTCTGGAGTGGACTTCTACCAAACCCCAACAGTTTGGTAGAACTGGGTCTGGAGTGGACTCTACCAAACTCTCTGCAGCTGAGAGTCCTGTCTGTTAGAAGGAAAACTAACAAACAGGAAGGACATCCACACAAAAAACCCATCAGGACATTACCATCATCAAAGACCAAAGGTAGATAAAACCACAAAGATGGGGAAAAAACAGAGCAGAAAAACTGGAAACTCTAAAAAATCAGAGCACCTCTCCTCCTCCATAGGAACGCAGCTCCTCACGAGCAACGGAACAAAGCTGGACGGAGAATGACTTTGACGAGTTGAGAGAAGAAGGCTTCAGATGATCAAACTACGCTGAGCTACAGGAGGAAATTCGAACCAATGGCAAAGAAGTTAAAAACTTTGAAAAAAAATTAGACGAATGGATAACTAGAATAACCAATGCAGAGAAGTCCTTAAAGGACCTGATGGAGCTGAAAACCAAGGCACGAGAACTAGGTGATGAATGCACAAGCCTCAGTAGCCGATGCGATCAACTGGAAGAAAGGGTATCAGTGATGGAAGACAAAACGAATGACACGAAGCAAGAAGAGAAGTTTAGAGAAAAAAGAATAAAAAGAAATGAACAAAGCCTCCAAGAAATATGGGACTATGTGAAAAGACCAAATCTACATCTGACTGGTGTACCTGAAAGTGATGGGCAGAATGGAACCAAGTTGGAAAACACTCTGCAGGATATTATCCAGGAGAACTTCCCCAATCTAGCAAGGCAGGCCAACATTCAAATTCAGGAAATACAGAGAACGCCACAAAGATACTCCTCGAGAAGAGCAACTCCAAGACCCATAATTTTCAGATTCACCAAAGTTGAAATGAAGGAAAAAAATGTTAAATGCAGCCAGAGAGAAAGGTCGGGTTACCCACAAAGGGAAGCCCATCAGCCTAAAGGCTGATCTTTCAGCAGAAACTCTACAAGCCAGAAGAGAGTGGGGGCCAATATTCAACATTCTTAAAGAAAAGAATTTTCAACCCAGAATTTCATATCCAGCCAAACTAAGCTTCATAAGTGAACAAGAAATAAAATACTTTACAGACAAGCAAATGCTGAGAGATTTTGTCACCACCAGGCCTGCCCTAAAGGAGCTCCTGAAGGAAGCATTAAACATGGAAAGGAACAACTGGTACCAGCCACTGCAAAAACATGCCAAATTGTAAAGACCATCAAGGCTAGGAAGAAACTGCATCAACTAACGAGCAAAATAGCCAGCTGACATCATAATGACAGGATCAAATTCACACATAACGACATTAACTTTGAATGTAAATGGGCTACACAGACTGGCAAATTGGATAAAGAGTCAAGACCCATCAGTGTGCTGTATTCAGGAGACCCATCTCACATGCAGAGACACACATAGGCTCAAAATAAAGGGATGGAGGAAGATCTACCAAGCAAATGGAAAACAAAAAAAGGCAGGGGTTGCAATCCTAGTCTCTGAGAAAACAGACTTTAAACCAACAAAGATCAAAGGAGACAAAGAAGGCCATTACATAATGGTAAAGGGATCAATTCAACAAGAAGAGCTAACTATCCTAAATATATATGCAACCAATACAGGAGCACCTAGATTCATAAAGCAAGTCCTTAGTGACCTACAAAGAGACTTAGACTCCCACACAACAATAATAATGGGAGACTTTAACACCCCACTGTCAACATTAGACAGATCAATGAGACAGAAAGTTAACAAGGATACCCAGGAACTGAACTCAGCTCTGCACCAAGCAGACCTAATAGACATCTACAGAACTCTCCACCCCAAATCAACAGAATATACATTTTTTTTCAGCACCACACCACACCTATTCCAAAATTGACCACATAGTTGGAAGTAAAGCACTCCTCAGCAAATGTAAAAGAACAGAAATTATAACAAACTGTCTCTCAGACCACAGTGCAATCAAACTAGAACTCAGGATTAAGAAACTCAATCAAAACCGCTCAACTACATGGAAACTGAACAACCTGCTCCTGAATGACTACTGGGTACATAACGAAATGAAGGCAGAAATAAAGATGTTCTTTGACACCAATGAGAACAAAGACACGACATACCAGAATCTCTAGGACACATTCAAAGCAGTGTGTAGAGGGAAATTTATAGCACTAAATGCCCACAAGAGAAAGCAGGAAAGATCTAAAATTCACACCCTAACATCACAATTAAAAGAACTAGAAAAGCAAGAGCAAACACATTCAAAAGCTAGCAGAAGGCAAGAAATAACTAAGATCAGAGCAGAACTGAAGGAAATAGAGACACAAAAAACCCTTCAAAAAATTAATGAATCCAGGAGTTGGTTTTTTGAAAAGATCAACAAAATTATTAGACCACTAGCAAGAATAACAAGAAAAGAGAGAAGAATCAAACAGACGTAATAAAAAATGAGAAAGGGGATATCACCACCGATCCCACAGAAATACAAACTACCATCAGAGAATACTATAAACAGCTCTATGCAAATAAACTAGAAAATCTAGAAGACATGGATAAATTCCTCGACACATACATCCTCCCAAGATTAAACCAGGAAGAAGTTGAATCTCTGAATAGACCAATAACAGGCTCTGAAATTGAGGCAATAATTAATAGCTTACCAACCAAAAAAAGTCCAGGACCAGATGGATTCACAGCTGAATTCTACCAGAGGTGCAAGGAGGAGCTGGTATCATTCCTTCTGAAACTATTCCAATCAATAGAAAAAGAGGGAATCCTCCCTAACTCATTTTATGAGGCCAGCATCATCCTGATACCAAAGCCTGGCAGAGACACAACCAAAAAAGAGAATTTTAGACCAATATCCTTGATGAACATTGATGCAAAAATCCTCAGTAAAATACTGGCAAACCAAATCCAGCAGCACATCAAAAAGCTTATCCACCATGATCAAGTGGGCTTCATCCCTGAGATGCAAGGCTGGTTCAACATATGCAAATCAATAAATGTAATCCAGAACATAAACAGAACCAAAGACAAAAACCACATGATTATCTCAATAGATGCAGAAAAGGCCTTTGACAAAATTCAACAACCCTTCATGCTAAAAACTCTCAATAAATTAGGTATTAATGGGACATATCTCAAAATAATAAGAGCTATCTATAACAAACCCACAGCCAATATCATACTGAATGGACAAAAACTGGAGGCATTCCCTTTGAAAACTGGCACAAGACAGGGATGCCCTCTCTCACCACTCTTATTCAACATAGTGTTGGAAGTTCTGGCCAGGGCAATCCGTCAGGAGAAAGAAAGAAAGGGTATTCGATTAGGAAAAGAGGAAGTCAAACTGCCCCTGTTTGCAGATGACATGATTGTATATCTAGAAAACCCCATTGTCTCAGGCCAAAATCTCCTTAAGCTGATAAGCAACTTCAGCAAAGTCTCAGGATATAAAATCAATGGCAAAAATCACAAGCATTCTTATACACGAATAACAGACAAACAGAGAGCCAAATCATGAGTGAACTCCCATTCACAATTGCTTCAAAGAGAATAAAATACCTAGGAATCCAACTTACAAGGGATGTGAAGGACCTCTTCAAGGAGAACTACAAACCACTGCTCAATGAAATAAAAGAGGATACAAACAAATGGAAGAACATTCCATGCTCATGGGTGGGAAGAATCAATATCATGAAAATGGCCATACTGCCCAAGGTAATTTATAGATTCAATGCCATCCCCATCAAGCTACCAATGACTTTCTTCACAGAATTGGAAAAAACTACTTTAAAGTTCATATGGAATCAAAAAAGAGCCCGCATTGCCAAGTCAATCCTAAGCCAAAAGAACAAAGCTGGAGGCATCACTCTTCTTGACTTCAAACTATACTACAAGGCTACAGTAACCAAAACAGCATGGTACTGGTATCAAAACAGAGATATAGACCAATGGAACAGAACAGAGCCCTCAGAAATAATGCCGCATATCTACAACTATCTGATCTTTGACAAACCTGAGAAAAACAAGAAATGAGGAAAGGATTCCTTATATAATAAATGGTGCTGGGAAAACTGGCTAGCCATATGTAGGAAGCTGAAACTGGATCCCTTCCTTACACCTTATACAAAAATTAATTCAAGATGGATTAAAGACTTACATGTTAGACCTAAAACCATAAAAACCCTAGAAGAAAACCTAGGCAATACCATTCAGGACACAGGCATGGGCAAGGACTTCATGTCTAAAACACCAAAAGCAATGTTAACAAAAGCCAAAATTGACAAATGGGATCTAATTAAACTGAAGAGCTTCTGCAGAGCAAAAGAAACTACCATCAGAGTGAACAGGCAACCTACAGAATGGGAGAAAATTTTTGCAACCAACCCAAATGTCCAACAACGACAGACTGGGTTAAGAAAACGTGGCACATACACACCATGGAATACTATGCAGCCATAAAAAATGATGAGTTCATGTCCTTTGTAGGGACATGGATGCAACTGGAAACCATCATTCTCAGCAAACTATTGCCAAGGACAAAAAACCAAACACCGCATGTTCTCACTCATAGGTGGGAATTGAAAAATAAGAACACATGGACACAGGAAGGGGAACATCACAAACCGGGGACTGTTGTGGGGTGGGGGGAGGGGAGGGATAGCATTAGGAGATATACCTAATGCTAAATGACGAGTTAATGGGTACAGCACACCAACATGGCACATGTATACATATGTAACAAACCTGCAAATTGTGCACATGTACCCTAAAACTTAAAATAATAAAATTTAAAAAAAAAGGGGGGGGGGGGGAGAAAAAGACATCACATGAGACCAAGCAGTTTTGTTTTGTTTTTTTTGAGACAGACCCTTGCTCTGTCACCCAGGCTGGAGTGCAGTGGCGTGATCTCTGCTCACTGCAACCTCTGCCTCCTGGGTTCAGACGATTCTCCTGCCTCAGCCTCCTGAGTAGCTGGGACTAGGACTACAGGTGCCCACCACCATGCCTGGCTAATTTTTGTATTTTTAGTAGAGGCGGGGTTTCACCATGTTGGCTAGGCTGGTCTCGAACTCCTGACCTCAAATGATCCACCCACCTTGGCCTCCCAAAGTGTGGGATTATAGGCAGGAGCCACCACGTCCAGCCCCAAGTAGATTTTAGAGCAAAACATTTAATTAGGGATAAAGAGGGTCATTTTATAATAATATCATTTCATCAAGAGGCTTTATTTAACTATCCTAATTGTTTATGATCTGAATAACAGAGCTTCAAAACACAAGAAGCAAAAACTGAGAGAACTGAAAGAAGAAACACATGAACCCACAATATAAACATTTCAACATTCCTCTGTAATTAATAAAACAAGAAGATTGAAAAATCAATAAAGATACAAAGGAGTTGAACAAGACCATCAACCAACAGAACCTAACTGACATTTATAGAACAGTCCAACCCCAGAGCAAGGTTACGAAAAGCATATTTTGGGCTAAAATTCAAGTTGCAATAAATTTAAGACTCAAATCAGATAAAGTATATTCTCTGACTACAATAGAAGTAAATTAAAAATCAGTAACAATAGATTGTTTGCACAGCATGGTGACTATAGTTAATGGTAATGTACTGTTTATTTCAAAATTGCTAAAAGAGATTTTAAACATTCTTACCACAAGATATAAGTATGTGAGTTAATGAATATATTAATTAGCCAGATTTTATCATTCCACAAAATATACATATTATTAAAACATCACACAGTACCCTATATATACCATTATTATTTTTCAATTAATAAGAAAATTTAAAAAAAGCTATCTGGAAAAGGCCCCAAATTTGAAAATTAAATAGTACACATCTAAATAACCTATGAGTAAGAGAAAAAAACGAAAAGGAAATTAGCAAGTATTTAAAATTGGATGAAAATGAAAACACAATTTTAAAAAATTCTAGAATACAGCTAAAGCAGTACTTAGAGGGAAATTTACAGCACTAAATGCATATATTAATGTGAAAGAAAGATCTCTTTTCAGTGATTTTGACATCCCCTTTAGGAAAAAAGAAAAATAAGAGCAAGTTAAACCCAGATTAAGCAGAGAAAGGAAATAATAAAAATCAAAAGAATAGAAAACCAAAAAAAAAAAAGAGAGAAATATCACTAAAACCTAAAGCTGTTTTTGTGTTTTGTTTTGTTTTTTTAAAAAAAGATCAATAAAATTGATAAACCTCTGACCAGAGATTAGGGAAAAAAAATAGATGTAAATCACGAATATCAGGAATTATAACAGGAATTACCAATATTAGGAGAGAAGAGACATCAAAACAGATTTTTAGACATTAAAAGGATAAGGGGATATCATAAACAAATAGTTTGGACTACTTTGATGCGATGAACAGATCTCTTGAAAGACACAAACTTGGCCAGGTCCTGTGGCTCACGCCTGTAATCCCAGAACTTTGGGAGACAGAAGCAGGCAGATTACTTGAAGTCTGGAGTTCGAGACCAGCCTGGCCAACATGGTGAAACCGCATCTCTACTAAAAATACAAAAACAGCCAAGTGTGGTGGCACATGCCTGTAATCCCAGGGACTTGGGAGGCTGAGGCAGGAGAATTGCTTGAAACCAGGAGGGAGGTGGAGGTTGCAGTGAGCCGAGATCACGCCACTGCCCTCCAGCCTGGGCGGCAGAGTGAGACTCCATCTCAAAAAAAAAGAGAAAGATACAAACTACCAAACCCCTTTCAAGAAGAAATAGATTGCATAAATAATACAATATCTAATAAAGAAGTTAAATTTGTAGTTTAAATCTTCCCAAAAAGTAAACTCCAGGCTCAGCAGACTACACTGGTAAATTCTACCAAATATTTAAGGAAGAAACTCTATACAAACTTGTCCAGAATATTAAAGAGGAAAGAATACGTGCCAACTCGTTCTATGAGGTCAGCATTATCCAGATGTCAAAACCAGACAAACACAGTATAAGTAAAAAGGCAGTCTGCACTTAAATATTTGTAAAATTTCTCTGTCTTGAGACTTACTGTGGATACCCTACAAAATAAATATATTAAATGTCTTCTCATACTACCTTCCCACTCTTGTACCTTCACAAATTGTCACTCAATGCACCCATCTTTCTCTCGGATTTCTCAAAAACATCTACGCAGTTTCCTTTTGTAGTACATTCCAACTTGACTTCCTTTGGATTTCAACAGAGTGGAATTCTTAGCCTTCTTAGTTTACACTGAGTGATTTCATCCCGAATCACTGCTTCTATTGTTGCCAAAGCACGCTGGGGTGTGAGATGTAGAGCTAAGATATTAGAGGTCAGTTTTAGACCCCTATATCCAATCACCTATAAATAGCTCCACCATATGCCCTCTAAACTCTCAAATTCTTTTATTTTTTATTATTTTATTTATTTACTTTTCATTATTTTTTGAGACAGAGTCTCACTCTGTCGCCCAAGCTGGAGTGCAGTGGCGTGATCTTGGCTCACTGCAACCTCCGCCTCCCGGGTTCAAGCGATTCTCCTGCCTCAGCCTCCTGAATAGCTGGGACTACAGGCACGTGCCACCATGCCTGGCTAATTTTTTTGTATTTTTAGTAGAGACAGGGTTTCACCATGTTGGCTAGGCTGGTCTCAAATTCCTGACCTCAGGTCATCCTCCGGCCTTGGCCTCCCAAAGTTCTGGGATTACAGGCGTGAGCCTCCATGCCTGGCCTAACCTCTCAAATTCAACACATCCAAAAACGAACTCACTACCACCCCTCAACAGCTGTCATTAGTCCAATTGAGACTATTTCAGTTAGCAGAGCCATAAACACCATGTAAGCCAAACAAAAACTTAGTTATGCTAAATACTACATCTCACTCCTTTTGACCCTCACTCACCTCTCAATGAACTACTTCACTTGACTCTATCTCCCTTCTGCTTTTAGTCATATAGGGTAAAACCTACTTTAGAAGAGGTTCTTATCATCTTTTACCATTTTCATAGACATATCTTATATTCTAAACATGTCATACAACATAACACTCCTTCAATCACGCCATGCTGCTTCATGCTTAAGCATCTCCCAGTGTGATGGTCTTCCTAACTGCAATGCAGCTTCTTTCAACGTGCACCACCAAGGAGGTGGTGGCAGTGGTTGTATTAAAGTAGTACCAGACAGTAATAGCGGTAGCAGCAACAAACACAACTTACTTAGATCTCATTGTATCCCAGGATCTATGCTAAGTGATTCAATTCAGTTATTTCAGCTAACTCTCAAAATGGCACTGTGAAATCGATGTCATTTTCACCATTTTATAAATTAACAAACAGTCTTTGAGAGGTTAGATGACGCAGTCAAAATCACATAACTAGTAAGTAGTGTAGCCAAGTCTATCAGACTTCTGACATTATGCTCTGAGCCACTATATAATACTCCCACCACAGAGAACTTCTCATCCTTAAAGGCCAAGCCAAGATTTTGCAAAAGCTCTGACTTCTCAAACAGATGTGCTACCACAGGCCTCTTACAAATTGTAAATGTCTCCCTCACTAGACAATTACTGAAGGCAGATACTAAACAGTACTTATTTTAGTAATTCCAGTGCTACTGGTACATCACAGAACTCAATAAATGTATACCCAATGAATTAATGATGAGATTAACAATTTCAGTTGAAACAGATTCCTCATCTTCCACTCCATGTTTCTATAATTAGTTTCAAAACTGAACAGAAAAGAGAGATCTTTAGGCTTTTTAAAATAGCGAACTGTGTATTTCAGCCCCTGGTAAGGGCATTGGGGAGGCCATAATCAAGGTTAGCCAAATTTGTTGTATCTGGAGAAAGTGGTTCAAATGACCTTTCATAACTACTAAGGAACTGGAAACTTATGATTTAGATCATTTAAAAGGAACTTATTATAAGAATTAAAAAGTGAGTGTTATGAACTGAATGTGTCTTTCCAAAATATGTTGAAATCCTAACTTCCAACGTGATGGCAACAGGAGGTGATTTGGACTTTGGGAGGTGAACAAGTACTTAGAGGAGAGCCCTCATGAATGGGATTATAATAAGAGACTCCAGAAAGCTCTCTAGCCCTCTTTCCACCAGGTAAGGATAGAATCAGGAGTCAGCAGTCTAGGGCTCCACACCAGAATCTACCATGCTGGCATCCTAATCTCAGACTTTCAGCCTCCAGAACTGTGAGAAATAAATTTCTGTTGTTTATAAGCCACCCAGTCTATGGTACTTTGTTATAGCAGCCCAAACAAAGACAGTGCTTTTTGAGAAAAAAAAAAAAAAAAAAAAAAGATGAAGAGTCCTTGTTCTGCAGTGAATTATTAGAACCTAAAAGAAACATGTTTCTGAACACCTTCACCTCCCCCCAAAAAAGGGAACAGGTAATAAAAATATGCAATGTAGATTTGCTATATTATGTAAGAATATTCAATTCTGCTTTAGAAGACAAGAAAACAAATGTGATAGATGAACACAAAAGAAACATTAAACATTAATAGTAACATAATAGCTTCCAAGATGTAGGCAAAAAGTCATAGGCTATGTTAAGTATAGGTAAGGAAGTAAGTGGCTTATGAGAGACAGACAAAATTCAAATGATGTTAAATACGTACAGTCAATTTAAAGTTTGAAATCAGCAAGACCTGTCAAAGACAGAATACATTGAATGTATGATGGCACACAAAAAAAGTGCTATTTACAGATGGATGGAAAGACCACCTCAAGGTATAATCATACTACCTCTGTGCTGGGTCTCTCATATTTCTGCAGATCTTAGAGGAAAGTAGTAATTGCCATCTTATATGACACACTGTTTTCAAGGATGTTTGCATAATTAATAGCCTTGGAAGAGACAGTATCTCAGTTTACAGCAATGGGCAGGTTTGTTTACTGTCCAGTATAAGAAAGGTAATGATGCTTTATAAGGCAGAGGCCAGATCTTACTGCCCATTGTAAAAATTTTAGGTTCTCTACAGTTGAGGTTGCTTAACTGGGATGTAAACTCACTGGGAACACAGCATCCACCTGGGTCCCACCTGGGTCCTCATTGGGAACACAGCACCCACCTGGGTCTGTTCATGATGCCCTAATAAAATACTGCAGACTAGGTGGCTTAAACAACAGGTGTGATTTCTTGGAGTTCTGGAGGCTGGGAAGTCCAAGATCAAGTTGCCAGCCAGTTTGGTTCCTGCTGAGGGCTCTCCTCCTGGCTTGCAGATGACTTCCTGCTCCCTGTCCCCTCACATAGTGGAGACAGAGAATTTCTCTTTCATCGTCTTCTTATAAGGCCAAAGTCCTATCAGATTGGGGCCGCATCCTTATGACCTCATTTACTCTTCATTACCTCCTAAAGAGTCTATCTCCAGATTCAGTCACACTGGGGGTTACAGCTTCAACATATAAATTTTGGGGAAATACACATCAGTCCATAGCATCTCCAACAAGTCACTCCATGAAACTTGGGGATGCGAGGGAAATAGACACTAACAAGATGCTTACTCTGCTTGTGCTGTAAGTCTTTGTCCCTAACCTTTGTCCTATGTCTTCTGCCAACATCTAAGAAACTGTGGCAAGATAAATTGTTAGCTTGCATTTCAGACCTTTCATAGTTTTTTTGTTGTTGTTTTGTTTTGTTTGTTTTTGAGATGGAGTTTCACTCTTGTCACCCAGGCTGGAGTGCAATGGCATGATCCTGGCTCACTGCAACCTCCGCCTCCCGAGTTCAAGTGATTCTCCTGCCTCAGCCTCCCAAGTAGCTGGGATTACAGGCATGTGCCACCACGCCCAGCTAATTTTGTATTTTTAGTAGAGACGGGGTTTCACCATGTTGGCCAGGCTGGTCATGAACTCCTGACCTCAGGTGATCCACCCGCCTTGGCCTCCTTAAGTGTTGGGATTACAGGTGTGAGCCACCACATGCCGGGCCCCTTTCATAGTTCCTGACAACCTGGATGATATCTATGCCGGCTTTAAATTGCCCACCCATTGATAATACCCAGTATAGCCCCACTCTGGCCCCTGTGGTTTTATCTGCACAAGAAATGCAGAAAAAAACTTGTAAAACTATTCAGCAGGTTAATTGGTTGGCTCCAGCTATGACCAGGGATAGCTGCTGCTGTGTGTCTCTAATAGAGCTGGTGTGTTTCATTGGACCGGAACACTTTCCTTCTGTGGTCTCCCTTGTACTCAAACCTCAATTCTGGCACTTGTAACATCAAAGAAAGGCATACGAGGCAGAAAAAGAGACAGGACATATAAATGTTACATGAACCAGGACTCAAGAACTCTGATCTTTCTACCTGCTTGCATTCGATCCGAAGTATATTAACTTATCCCAACTCTCTTCCATTTCTTCTTATTGCGTATGTTAAATTGATTTAATGAATCATCTGCTTTGAGAAGCTTATTTGATCTGTGAGCCCTTCTGTTCTGTGAAATCTGGGACGACTTGCCTGGTAGTGTACTAGGAGGCAACATTGCATTAGGTAATTTCCCACAGAACAGGTTCATAGCTAACCTTTATCTCGCCTTAAACTACCGTTGAAAAAAATTATTCTAGGCCACTGGGGAAAAAATAGGAAGCTCCATAATTCATTTATTAAGCCAGCATAATGTTAATGCTGAAAACTTAAAAAGAGATAAAGAGACTATCAAAAAGGAAAATAATAGAGCATTTTTATCACTGAATAAAGATACAACACTCTTAAGTAATCTGTAAGCAAACAGAATCCAGCAATGTCTAATGAGAACAATATAACATTACCAAGGAGGGTATTTTCTTGGATTGCAAGAGTGGTTCAATACCAGGAAATCCACAACAGGAGATCTACTCCTTATATCAACAAATTAAAAGGAAAACATTGCATCATCATTTACTAGATGCTGAAAAGCATTTGATCAAATTCAGGAACCACCACTAAAGAAAAAAAGTTAGTAAAACAGGAGTGGAAAATATTACGTAAAATAAAGACTTTTTACCAGAAACCAACAACAAATATTAGCTATGTGATCTGGGGTCAGTCATGTAGGCTTCTCACCTCAGATGCTTGTCTTAAATTAATTAGTGTAGGTACAGCTAGTAAAACAGGGCCTGGCACATCATAAGCACTATGCATGGGTTAGCAATTATTATTACAATAATAATTATCACCAGTCAAATTGCAAAAGTTGTAATAAATGAAATAATAAAATGTAAAACCTGGTATAAACATTGAAAAGAAAGATGAAAATGCATTTGAAATATCCAAAGTACTCCAAATGATTAACGGAAATATATATAAGATAAACATGGGAACTATTAATATTTGTTCTCCATTTTAGCATTTGACACAAATATTGAAATTAGAAAAAAATTTCATTCATAATTGCAAGAAAAACATTACACACTTAGGAATAATTTTAACAAGAAAGGCAGAGAGGGACCATGGGACAAAAAATATAAAACAATTATTAGAGGAACACAAAGTACAATCTGAACACCCAAAAAACTTTTATAATAGTAAGAAAATACCATTAAAATGTAAATTTACCAAAAACCAATATGTATATGAGTTTTATAAATTATAATTAAAGTGACAATAGGACTTTTTTAAAGGCTTCATAAAATTATTTAATGTTTACAAACTATATACCAGAAAATAGTCAATAAAAGGATGAAAACAAAGACTAGTAAGGAGTATTCTACCTTAAACAATATGCAAATGGCATAAAAACAAATATATATTTTTTTAAAACATTAGACTGTAATTCAGTCTGACATTTTCTATTCTCTTTTTTTTTTTTTTTTTTTTTTTTTTGCTAAGTACCTGTTGTGATGCACAAAGCTGATAGCACAGCTTAATGTGGAATGATCAACACATATGCAAAGCACCTAGACTGTACAGTGGCTTGCACACAGTTACCTTTCTATTGTTCTTCCCATGTGACTACATATATAATCTAAAGGCCAAGAGAATTTTTAAACCATAATTGGAACTCAGAAAGTACTAAAAAATATTTATACCTATAACTTTGTAAAATTGTAAAATTAATGGCAAAAATATGACTGATAAAGTCAAATAGTGAAAGATCTGAAAAAGCTATTTCATGATAAAGGGTTACTATAATATACAATACTTATAAAATAAAAAATGAATAGAAAATGGATAAAGAATATAAAAGGAATTTCACAGAATTCAAATGTCCAGCATTTTAAAAATGCTGAAGTTTATTAGTAGTACTAAAAAAGACATTAAAATAATTTATACCCCAGAAACAATAAAAAAATTAAGAGTTATAATACATTTTGCTGACAAGAGTGCAGACAAAAGTGTATATTGTTGGTAGAAGCATGAAATGTAAAATCCCTTTGGAAAGTAATCCAAAATTATTTATCAAAAATAAAAATATGTATGGCCTTTGACCCAACAAGCTTTTGGATAACAAATAGAAATAATAGTTTTATTACATCAACATGTAGGGATGGTTATTCCCACATTTTTCATAGTGACAAAAAAATGAAAATAAGACTTTGAAATCCAATGCAAATCACTGGGAAAATGGTGGTATATTTATGATGTATCTTCTTCAGTCATTTAAAAGAATGAATTAAAGTCACAGAGTTGACTTGGCTGGATATCCACAATCAATATATTATGGAGTGAGATAAACAAACATACCAAGTTGTATATATTATATGACTTTATTTTTGTAAATCAATGACACTCACTCCCTACAACATACATAAGTTTATATGAAAATGAAGAAAAACATGAGAAGATTACGTACTAGGTTGCAAATATATGTTAAGGTGTTGCCAGGCACAGCGGCTCACACTTGCAATCCCAACACTTTAGGAGGCCAAGACAGGAAGACTGCTTGAGCCCAGGAGTTCGAGACCAGCCTAGGCAACACAGGGACTCTGTCTCTACAAAAAAATACAAAAATTAGCCAGGCATGGTGGCATGCAGCCATAGTCCCAGCTACTCAGGAGGCTAAGGCAGGAGGATCAACTGAGCCTGGGAAGTCGAAGCTGCAGTAAGCCATGATCATGCCATCACACTCCAGCCTGGGCAACAGAACAAAACCCTGTATCAAAAAAATAAATAAATAGAAGGTGTTCTGGGGGATAGATGATGGGGGCAAGAGGAGAAAGCCAAGACAAAGAAAAACAGGATGCATAAAAGTAAAATGCACATGCTAACAAAAAACAAGCAATGAGTAGATTATATTTATAATAAGCTGCGGGTATATTCACAAACATATAAAATCTGAATGATAGCAGGTATGACATTATTTCTAAATTTTTTTCTATGTCATATTAATAGTATTTGTATAAAGTAGAATTCCCTTATCCACTCAGAGGTATGTTTCAAGACCCCTTAGGGGACATCTGACACCACAGACAGTACCAAACTCAATTGTCATCAGTTGGAACATGGTTTTCTTCAGACTTTCCGCCCACAAATGCAATGCTTTTTCCACCTTAACTAAGCACTTATTATGCACTGTGCTGGTAACTTTTGCAGTTTGAAGTATGACAGCAAAACTAGCACAAATTTCTTATTCCCTCTTCACAATTTTATAGATAAAGATGCATTCTTACTATGGATCTTAGCAACCTCAACATACGCTATTTCTTCTTTCAGTTCGAGAACTTTCACCATTTCACTTCGAGGAATCATTTTACAGCTTCTCTTTAGCATATCTCAATTGCCAACATCACTACTTTTGAACTTTGGGACGATTAGTAAGTAAAATAAGGGTTACTTGAACACAAGAACTGTGTTACCACATTAGTGGATCTGATAACCTAAGCAACTAACAGCAGGTAGTGTAGACAGTGTGGATATGCTAGACAAAGGAAAGATCCATGTCCCAGGCAGGAAGGTGCAAGATTTCATCATGCTACTCAGAATGGTGCACAATATAAAACATAAATTGTTTATTTTGGGAATTTTTTATTTACAATTTTCAGTCTACGATTCACCACTGTAACTAAAACTATGGAAAGCAAAACCATGGATAAGGGGAGGCTACTGTATGGTCATGTAGGATGAAAGTCAACTTATCTTTCTTTCCTTTCTTTTAGTTTCCAGAGCTCAACCTGCTTACCTTTTTTTCCCTACTTTAACGTTTGCAAAATTCTTTCTATAGGTTTTTGAGAATTCTTCGCCTACAACCAGCCTCCCTTCCTTCTCATTGTCCTTAAAAATAAGAATACAAACCCTTTGAATTTTAAATGTTTTACTCTTGTTTTCTATCAGGCACCAAATATTCAGGTGACTGATAGAATGATTCACAGACCTTTGTGAGTCATTAAGTGTGAAACATGATTCAGAAGTAGCAACTGGAAACAAACACAGTCCTCTGTTAACATCTCAGAGTTCACCAAACTTTTTTCTTACCCATCTCTGATCTCCATAGGCCTAATGTAACAACAAGAGTAGAATACTAATTTTCTGGGGTACTGTGGGTTTGTTTGCTTTTTTTTCCTGAGGACCGGTATCCTTAAATGCCTATCTCTGTGACCTCTGCCACAAACATTAATAGTCCCACATTTGTTAATGCATTTTTATGTTGATACAAATATAGTCCTTTCCTAGATAATTTTTTTTCCTTTGGTTTATTTTACTTCATTCATAATTCATATCAAAATAGCAATATTTAAATGAGACAAGTCAATTCCTTATAATACATTCTTCCATTTTCAAAGCCTTGCACATTTAAGAATTAAAATAAGAGAAAACCTTTAGAAGTTTAAATCCATTATTCTTTTTTTTTACTTAAAATTTTATTAAGGTATAGAAAATACTTGGTAAAATACAAAGATAACAGGTGTGGAACTTGATGACTTCTAATAAATTCAGACACCTATGTAATCACCATCCTATTATAATATAATATTTCCATCATCCCAGAAAGGTTGCTCACATCTCTTCACTGTCAACATCTCCTGTAAACATTCACTGTTCTCATTTCTTTCATCTCTGATTAGTTTTGCCTAATCTACGCATGATACACATGGAATCGTACATCATGTATCCTTTTGTTTATGGCTTCTTTCACTCACCGTAAAGTTTTTGAGGTTGTTCCAAGTTGTTCTGTGTATTGATAATTCATTTCTTTTTATTACTGAGTAGTATTGCATTGTATAAATGTAACATGATTGGTGTATCTACCCTTCATTTAACATTCAAGTAGTTTACTAAGAATAAAGTTGATGTAAACATTTGTGTACTAGTCTTTTTGTGAACCTTGTGTTTTCAGTCCTCTTGGACAAATATTTAGGAGTGACACTGCTGTTTCATAGGATAGGTGGTATGTTTAAGTTTTGAGAAACTGCCAGAACAGTTTTCAAAACAGTTGCACTATTTTACACTCCCATCTGCAATTGATAGGAGTTCCAGTTCCTACACATCCTAGCTAACATTTGGTGTTGTCAGTCTTACTAATTTTAGCTATCCTAACGTGTAGTAGTGTCTCCTGGTGGTTTTTCAAGACAACAAATTGTGCTGAACATTTTTTCAGGTGCTTATTGGCCACTCACCTGCCTTCCTTTATCAAGTCCCTAATCAAATCTTTTGTCCATTTGTTTTATTGAGTTATCTTTTTATTATTGATTTGCTAATATTTAGTAGACACAAGTTTTGTTAGATAAATACATGGAAGATATTTTCTCCCAGTTTGAGGCTTGCCTAATCATTTTGTTAATAATCTAATATCATTGAGGAGATATAATTTTCTAGAAGTCTCTTGTTCTTCAATGGTAAATGGGTCTTGAAAAGACATCTTTTGCAAATATATTTTTTAAAGGCAGCTTGTCAATTTCTTGAAATGACCTACTGGGAATCTGAATGGGATTGAGTTGAATTGATAGATAAATTTGGGGAGAAATGACATCTTTATAATACTGAGTCTTATCATCAAAGAACTTGTCATATCTTTCAATTTATTTAGGTTTTATTTTTTTTTCCTTAGGAATATTTTGTAGTTTTCAGTGGGCTTACAGATATTTCAACAAATTATTCCTAAGTATTTTATGTTTATTGAATATTATTGTAAATGATATTAAATTCATATTTTTGAATTGTTCATAGAAAAAACAATTTTTATGCCCATCAATGGTAGATCAGATAAAGAAAATGTGGTACATATACACCATGGAATACTATGCAGCCATAAGAAGAATGAGATCATATTCTTTGCAGCAACATGGATACAGCTAGAGGTCATTGTCCTAAGCAAACTAACGCAGAAACAGAAAGCCAAATACCACACATTCTCACTTATTTGTGACAGCCAACCATTGAGTACTCATGGACACAAAGAAGGGAACAAGAGACACTGGGGCCTACTTGAGGTTGAAGGGTAGGCGAGGGTACCTATGTACCTATTGGGTAACTATGCTATATAATAGTATAATAGTATACCTATTGTATACTATCTTGTACTTGGGTGACATAATAATATGTACACCAACCTATATTGTGTTTTAGCTATGTATTCATTTTCTTAAAAACAATAGAGACCTAATTAGGTTATTTATTTTTAATTAAATAAGCTTTAGAAGTTTCTGTCTTCCCAGTAATTTGTTCATTTAATCTAAATTGTCCAATTTATTATTTTCATGGCTATAACATGTATAATGTTCTTTTATTCCAATATTGGTAGTTCATACCTTCTCTGTTTTTTATTAATCTGATTAGATGTTTATCAATCTTATCAAACTTTTTAAAAAACAGCTTTTGGTTTCACTGGATTTCTAGTTTTTTAAAGTTGATTTTTTTCCTTTTACCTTTATTATATCCTTCCTTATGTTTGAGTTTAATTTGCTCTTCTTCTGACTTCTTAATGATGAGCCTCAGATATTTGATTTTAAACTTTTCTGTTGTTCTCTATATTGTTATTTATAAAGATATAAATTTCACAGTTATAGGTTTTCCTCTAGGTACTATTTTGTCCATATCCCACTAATTTTGATATATTATCTTTTCTTTTCACTTTTATTGTGGAGATTGGGTTTCACTGTGTTGCCTGGTCTGGTCTTGAACTCCTGGCCTCAACTCATCTTCACACCTCAGCCTCCCACAGTGCTGGGATTACAAGCATGAGCCAGGGTACCCAGCCTCTATTTTCATTATGACTGTTAAATACTTCCTAATGTCCCTAATGGTTGCCTAACCCTATTTAAGAATATGTTGCATAATTTGAAATATTTGGGATTTCCCAGATATCTTCATTACTTTGATTTCTAGTTCAACTGAATTATGAATAAAGAATACAATCTCTGTTATTTAAATTCTATTAAATTAGTGCACTCCTTTTATAACCAAACAAATGGTCTTCACAGTAAATATTGCACTTGCATTTATAAGGATGAGGAATTCTGGAGTTAAAGGTGATGTATCAATCTCAATTAGGTTAAATTTGTTGATAGTGTTCATGAATTCTACATAATTACTGACAATACCTATTGTTCTATCAGTTACTGATAGAAAAATTTTGAAATCTCAAATATAACCATGAATTTAAATATTTTCCCTTCAGTTTGCTTCACATTTAAAATCTCTATTATTTGATGGTATATTAATTATTACTGCTGTAACAAATTACCACAAACTTAGTGGCTTACATAACACAAAATTATTATCCTATAATTCTGGAGGACAGAAATAAAAAATGTTCCTTAATGGGCTAAAACCAAACCTGAGTTCTTTTCGGGGCCCCAAGGATGGTGTCATCTATAAGAAACAGGCTTCCACCAGACACAAAACCTGCCAGTGCCTCAATCTTGGTCTTTTCAGGCTCCAGAACAGTAAGAAAATAAATTTCTATTGTTTACAAATTACCCAGACTTAGGTATTAATATTTTGTTAGAGGAGCACAAATTCACTAAAAGAGAAATTGTTGTCAAGAGTAGAATATTGCTACAACATATATCTAAAAATTTAAAGCAGTTTTGGAACTGGGTAATGTGACAATATTAGTATGAATAGAAGGAAGTCAGATGCTATTCATCAAAGCAATGCAAGAATAACTCCCCAAAGCATTTCAGAGATCTTTGAGTCTGCCACACCTATTACATGCCCAGAGTGCCAGGGCCTGAGGGTAGATCTTTTTCAAAGGAGGGGCCCACAACACCAGAGGGGCTCAAGGCACCCGTGGTAACTTGGGGCTCACCAACCAGCACAGCTCAAGTCTCCGCTTCCCGCATTCCAGTACAGTGCTCTTTGGCCACCCCAGCTATAGCTGAGGAAGGGCCAGGTGCAGTTCAGGCCACCTCTCTGGAGGACATAAGTGATAAGCCTCAGTAGCATCCATGTGGTGCTAATTCTGCAGGCCCACAGAGTGCAATAGCTGTGGAGGCATGACTTCTCCACCTAGATTTTAAAGAATCCTTCCAAGAGTCCCATGGCCAAGGCAGAAAACTGCTACAGAAGTGGGGCCACTGAATAGAGCCCCCACTAGGGCAATGCCTAGTAGAGCCATGGGGTTGGGACCACCAAAGACAGCACCCACTAGAGCAATGTCTAGTGGAGTTGTGGGACCTGTCCCACAGTTGTATTTTGAAGGCGGTAACTTGTTTGATTTCACAGGTTCACAACTGAAAGGCAACTTGCTAAGGCTAAAACACAACTTTCAGTCTCACTCAGTCTGACTTGGATGGCATCTACATGATATTCTGGACGTTAAACTTTTGAGCTAGAAGGAGTTAAGACTTTTGGTGCTATTGTGGTAGAATAAATGTGTTTTGCATGTGAGGTTGACATGTATTTTGCGGTGGGAATGCTATAGTCTGAATTTCCCCCAAAATTCATGTGGTGAAACTTAATCTCTATTGTATTGGGCAGTGTGGTCTTTGGAGGTGATCAAGTCATGAGGGCTCTGCCCTTATGAATGGGATGGATAACTTTATAAAAGGGCTGAAGGTTGAAGGGGCCACTATCTTACCCTTTCTCCATGGGAGGACACAGCAGCAAGGTGCCACGATGGAAGCAGAGAGCAGCCCTCACCAGACACAAATGGTACTGACTTCACCGTGGAATTCCCAGACACCAGAACTATAATAAATTTCTGTTCTTCATAAGTTACCCAATCTCAGGTATTTTGCTATACCAGCACAAACAGACTAAGGCAGGTGAGAAATGCTCTAGTTGACATATCCTATGAGGAATTATATGAGATCCAGATGATATCACTAGTGATGGTAACTTCATCACTTGATTAAGGTAGAATTAGCCAGATTTTACCACCGTCAAGTTACCATAATTCACTTCGCATACTCTTTTCTATGGAAATGTGTCACTGAATCTAGACTATCCTCAGAGGGAGGTGGGAAGAGTAGGAATTAAGTTCCAGCTCCTAGAATGGGAAGAATCTATCTATCTACCCATCCATCCATCCATCTATACACAAATACATACTAGATTTTAAAGTTGTACAATCTCTGTCACTTCTGGGACTCCACTATTTAATGATGTTTCTCCTGGATTAGAACCATATTTTCCTGCTTCTTTGCATGTCTAGTCATTTTGTGTGTTAGACATTATGGACTAACAATTATTTTATCTACATGTTGTTGTCTTACTTTAGAGAATAATGAAGTTTTGCTCTGGCAGATGGGTAATTTAATTGTGAATCAGATGGTTCCTTTTCAAGGTTGTTTTAAGCTTTGTTAAGACAAGTACAGAGTACTATATATTATCTAAGGATACAGGAGAGTACTTATAGTCTCCTACAAGCACTTCTTATACATGGTCATAAAATAGAATAATTGGGGCAGGATGGGAACAGCAGAAATTAATTTTTTCTTATAGTTACATCACTAACAATCCATACTACCTTCCTGACAGTACTTTTCACCTAGGCAAATGATTGTACTCCATAATTTCTCACACAAAAATTAATCTACAGGCTTCTTGCAATGTTTATTTCACCATAATTTTACCTTAATAAATGTGAACAGAAGAGTGGAGACAGGGTAATATAGCCAGGCTAATTTGAATCCTGGACTTTCCAAGGGATAAACCAAAACCAATGGGCACAAACCCTGATTTCACTGTGTTCTACCCAATAGAAAATAAACCAGCCCAAGCATAAAGCAGCCCAAGCATCATTCAGGAATTTTATACAGTTATCTATCATGGGATCTTTGCTTCTTAAACTTTATTATATTTACTAATGGCTTTCACAGTCTGTAGGCATATTTTTCACTGATAATGAAATACAGTAGAAAATATCCTGAGGAAAAAATATTTAAGCTTTAAACTCAGGCTACAGGTAGATTGTCCCTTCAACTTACAAATATTGTGTATTGTGAAATACTGCCTGTAAACTAGCAATTAGTCCCACTGAAATTTAAAAATATTAATTAGATGCCAAGGTTTTCTCATAAATTACTATTTGATTCAAAAAGTGACTGAATCATTTAATAATTCTGAATTCTAATCTCGCAAAGGCCAAACATCCTCTTAGCTTCTTCCCATCTCAACTCCAAAGCCTGACAGAAGTAATCATTTTTATAGAGGTTAACAATAATTCAAAATTTCTAAGTAAAGAGTGACCTATATATATCTTGATATTTGTTTGGAAAGTTTGGGAACTCTTTAATCAATTGTCCAATTACAAAGGTCTAATTCTACTAAGAGCAAATGTTAAAATAGATTTCAATTCTATATGTACTGAAAACAGACTTACAGACAATAATATTTTTCTATTTATGTCTTATATGAAGTATTATCAGCTATGGAGTGAGCATCAGAAGGCATTGTGTATAGTCTGCATATTTAAAAAAAACTGAAGAAAATATTATTTTATGCTGTTCCTATGCAGTCAATGACATGCTCTGGCTTTTTTTTTTCTACTAAGAGAACACATTTTGATTTCAGTGTTTTTCCATTATGTTCTTTTTTTTCATAGCCCAAAAGATTCATTACTTTGATAACCATTTATCAGGGACTCAAGTTCAATCTATAATACCTATTGAAATAGCAAATAATTCAGCCTCAGTGTCTGTGTGTGGGAAAATGGGCTGTGTGCTAGATAAACGGCCTACCTGCCTCTGACACAGATTAGGTCATCATTCAAACTAACCACAGATCTCTAGAACAAATACAAGGAACTACAGGTTCACTTTAGCTGATGTTTCTGTTTTAGAAACAGTCTTCCTTTTAGAGAGTTACAATATCATCAAAGTATCATGGCACAGGCTTGAAAAACCAGCATCCAGGAACGTAAGGATAGAAATATTTCACAATTTTTACAAAACACCAATTATGCAACACATACTTATATCTGATTTCTCTTTTACACTAGGGAATCTTATAAAACCCCTGCTATTTCCATCTGAATGAAATTATATAACTATATTATGCTAGGTTGTAGGCAAGGAAAGCCGTTACAGACATACATCTCTTTCCATATACAAATAAGCTCTATTTTATTCCTCTCAAATTTCTAATCTCTTCAATCTTGCTATTAGAAGAAAGAAGTAAACATTATTTAAAGAAGGAAACCAGTTGGCTACCGAGACCAATCCTCACAGGGTGTAATTACCTTGGTAAATTCAGCAAAATCCAGTTTACATTAATTTTACAGATTCAGAAATAAAGTGTTATTACAAAGGAAGATTCATTTGTGAGGAATATATTTCTTTTAACCAATTATACAAAATAGAATAAATGACTTTTAAGATCTACAGAAAGCAACATTGCCAATGAGGAGACTAGACACAGAGTACATTCCTTTTGTACAGAGAAAAAAGAAAGGAAGAAAAGAAGGCCAACTAAATTCAGAATGACAGCTTACTGATTTAAAATGAGAAATTATAATGGCTGTTTTCTGGTTAACCATGGGAGAGTAACCTTACATTTTTATCTACTCCCTTGCCCTATGGCAGACTTTGAAGGTTACATCCCTTAACCTCCATTTCCAAACCTATGTTTCCTTGCATTCTTCTGTAACAGATGTTTCACCTCCTCTATAATATGCTCATTTGCAGTTACAGATTGTAAAAACAGTCTTACTTAATGAGATATACAGAAAAATTTGATAAGGGGGATTGTGGGACAAGCATCAGTTTCTCAATAAAAAGATGGATAAATATGTTATAGCCATTCTCTCTTCACTTTCTCCCTCCTATTTAAACTTTTTATTACGAAAATTTTCAGACCTTCACAAAAATAGACTAGTATAATGAAACCTTTATATTAATCTATGAAACAATTTCAATAATTATGCCAGATTTGTATCATCTATTTCCCTTGCGACTTCTTTCCTTTTGGAATATTTTAAAGTAAATCACAGGCATCATAACATTTCATCCATAATTTCTTCAGTATGGATTCCTAACAGATGAAGACTTCTATTTTTAATTAACATAAACATGATGCCATTATCATGTATAACAAAATAAACAATTTATTAAAATTATCTATGTGTAAAAATCCTGATTGTCTCAAAAACATATTTTTATATTTAACTGTTTCCAAACAATAATCACAGAAGATCTATATATCACAATTCGTTGATACGCTTTTCAAGTTTTTAATCAATGAGAGAATCTCTCTCTTCTTCTTTTCTTCTACTTTTTTTTTTTTTAAAGAAACTGGGTTATTTAATCTATAGAATTTACCATATTCTGTGCCTCGCTGATTATTTCTTCATGGTATCATTTAATTTGTTTTTGTATCCACTATTCTTGGAATCAGCAATTTCTCCAAAATGAGATGCAAGCGTCTCATGAAATCTGCTCAGTGATTTCCAAGAACGGTTTTGCTTTCTCAATATAGAAACTTTTCAACCATACTTTTCTTTCTAGATTATTTAAACATCGAATCCGAGATACCTACATCTCTGCCAGAGGGCTCTGTACCTGAGGGAAGTACTGGCTGAACCAAGGACATAATTTTAAAATTCTGAAGGAAGTGATGGTCAACCTGAAGTTCTATACCTAATCAAACTATCAACCAAACTTGAGGGCAGACTAAAGATTATTTCAGATATTAGGCATTTATTAAAGGATATGTACTTCTTAGGCATTTATTAAAGGATGAGCATTACCAAACAAGGGACCAATAAGACAAAGAAAAGGAAGAATGAGATCTAAGAAATAAAGAATCCAATTTACAACATAAATCCTAAAATGACAGCTATGGGCTATGTATATTAGGCAAACAATCTGAGAGGTTGGAGCAGAAGAATGGATGATAACTAAAATATACTGGAAACTGCTTATTTTTTTCTCAGCACTATCCTGCTCTTCTAAGCTCTATCTTGAATAATGAGAACTGAAAACTTATAAACTATGTTTCCTACACTTCTTGCCAGGAGGTTTTTCACTTAGAGCCCACAATGAAAGAATTTGTACAATATTTAGATGGCAGAAGAAAATGAGAAGCCTTGTTCTCCAGGGACAACTGAGGGCAGATGCAGTGGATTCCAGGTGCCAAAGACAACTGACATAAGTAGCTGTGGTTCACCTGCAATTCCTGTACTATCACATTTCTTGAAATCCAGCAATGATTTCCCATTGGTTCTGTTAGTCTGTAATTTTAGGCATTAATTCCTTTCTTTTTAAACTATGTAATGTAGTTTCTATTTTCCTTACCTAACCTCAAGTGATTCAGGAATTCTTTAGGTAAAAATATAGAAGTAATGGATCATCTGATGCTTGAATGATGACCATTATTTATATACTCACTGTACTATAAATATCAACTTCTGATTTTATTTAGATTGTGGTATACCTATATTTGGAAGATAGGGATAGGGAAAAATGCGTGTGAGAAATATGATGATAAAGAATGATACGTTGTAATCCCAGCACTTTGGCAGGCTGAGGCAGGTGGATCACGAGGTCAGGAGATCGAGACCATCCTGGCAAACACAGTGGAACCCTGTCTCTACTAAAAATACAAAAAAAATTAGCCAGGCGTGGTGGTGGGCGCCTGTAGTCTTAGCTACTCGGGATGCTGAGGCAGGAGAATGGCGTGAACCCGGGAGGTGGAGCTTGCAGTGAGCCGAGATCACGCCACTGCACTCCAGCCTGGGGGACAGAGCAAGACTTCATCTCAAAAAAAAAAAAAAAGTGATACTTTCTTAATTTCCATAAAAGAAAGTCTATATACAGTTTAAAGGTCTTAAGTTTTTTTAAATAGCAGCATAAGCCCACCCCCTCTCCCTTTTTTTATTTTAGGCAGTAAGGTTGTCTTAGGAGAGTGAGTCAAGGAACGAGGTAGAGGATTGATTTTAGGTAATAAAGAGCTTTTCAGCATCATCGATTTTTTAGGTAGATAATATCTTACTTTGTTAAAAAGGAATTTTTAAAAGGGGTTAGCAAAGAAAAACAAAATAAGAAACAGACAAAGTTTTAAAACAAACATAAAAGATGCTTGTGAAATAACTGGGAAAATGGCTGCAAATACAGTTGCAAAATAATGACCTGAGTCCTCTGTGACATTACTCCTTCTATATATATTTATATGAGATGCTAAATTACAATAAAATGTGTGCTTGTTTTTCATTTGGTATGCATAGAACCAAATGAAGGAAGTTGAGCAAAATAATTTAAATTTGTAATATACTTAGCTATGATAGCCTAAAACATTTTTCTCTACATGAGATCATACATGTCACCAGGACTTATGGGTTTAAAAGATTTCCTCTTCCTCAGAAAGAACATATATTTTCATACAGCAAAATCATTAGCAGTGACTCTGTTTATGGATCCTAGAATCGACCAGTTTCCCAAATAACTGGTTTATTCGCATATGCAGGTCTGTGTGTCTATCAAAACAGGTTATAGATTAAATCTAACTCATCTGGAAGCCACTCTTTACCTTTACGGTGAGTATGCATGTTCCTCTCAAATCCATTTTGTGAGGATCTATTAATTAAATTTCCAGGTATCCAAGTATTTTGTTAATTAGGAGTGGTAACAGGAGTGGGGATGTCACTGGGTTCCCATGTAAAACAAACAATATTAGCTTATATTAAAAGCAATAATCTGGCCAGGTGTGGTGGCTCACATCTGTAATCCCATCACTTTGGGAGGCCAAGGCGGGTGGATCACGAGGTCAGGAGTTCAAGATCAGCCTGACCAACATGGTGAAACTCCATTTCTACTAAGAATACAAAAATTAGCTAGGCATGGTGGTGCGTGCCTGTAATTCCAGCTACTTGGGAGGCTGAGGCAGGAGAATTGCTTGAACCAGGACCCAGGTAGCGGAGGTTGCAGTGAGCCGAGATCATGCCACTGCACTCCAGCCTGGGCTACAGAGCGAGACTCCATCTCAAAAAAAAAAAGAAAAAAAAAATAATAACCAGCTTAAGACAAAGTAGACTGTAACAATCAGTACACTCTTTTCTCTACTTTTTCTTATGGAAAATTCGAAACATACAAATAAAGTAGAGAGAATATAATAAATTCCCATGTAGCCATCACCTAGACTCAATAATTTTTTTATTCTGTTGATCTTCTTCTATCTATTTCGCATTATACTTTTCTTTCTAGAGTATTTAAAAACTAGTCTCAGATATCATGTTATCTCATAATCCTTGCATTCCAAAATGTAGACTAAGCCATCCTTGACTATTTTGGCAGGAATTAATATTTGAATAGATATTTAAATCTTTTGAAATTTAATATGTGAATCAATTGCTCTGGCATAAGAAGAAATACATATTAGGTGTTGTCATATATACTCTTCATGGTTCATACAAATTCAGAAAACCATTTAAGAAAAGAACTGTCCAACCTCAGGTGTGAACCATAAAGCTCTTTCAGGGCATCTATTCTCTAAGAAGATACAAAAGTGCTAAGGAAGCAGAAAAGTATAGAGAAAAAAAAAGTGATCTAGGAAAAGAATCATCAAGGGAGTATAGAAAATCTGAACTTAGAGATAAACACTCAGATACTCTGGATGCCTAAAAATAAGACTATCATAGTAGACATTGTTAGGGCTCTCCTCATATCCCTTGGCAATTTCAACAATCTCCTGTAGACTTCCATCTGGCAGTATCTACACATCCATGTGCCTGAGGGAGTACTGGTTAGACTTGGAATAATTTTCTGAAGTTGGTGTATAAATACCACAGCTCCCTCAACTCTCTCAGTTGGGATAATTATGTGTTATATTTTGCACTGTTTCCAAAAGTTATCCTGTAGGATTAAATTCATCTGGCAGCTGGCTTATAAGGAGCCCATCATTGTTTCCCCTTTCCCTGTTCCATTTTCCCACCTCCCTACTAGTGTCACCAGCTAGTGTCAACTACTTGCACTGGAATTCCTGTTTCAGCATCTCAACCTGGGGAAACCTGACACAATTACTAAACAAGATTCCTTTCTTGTTCTTTTAGATGAGCAAAAAAGGAAAAGAAAGACCTTGTATTAGGTACTTTACAAAAATTACCTTAGTAAACCCTTATAATGATAATGTGAAGTAAGAATTATACACATAGGGAAGCTCAGAAGTTGTGTCTGTGATCTCACCACTGGGATCTGAATTCAGAAATAAAGACTAGGAAAAGCACCAGCGACACGAATTCAGTAAACCTGAATTTCCATATGCCCCAACTCCCAAGCCAATTTTACCCAGTGTTATTTCCTCAAAGCACTGTAGTATTTGAAATTATCTTGTATATCCATTTGTTTACTTATTGTCTCTCTCTCCCACCCACTTTAGAATGGAAGGTACATAAGATCAAGGACTTTTGTCCTCATTGGCATATCTCCAGAGCCATGGGTACATTTAGACACAAATTAATATTTTCTAAATGAATAATTCAGAATGATTCTTAAAATCAAAATATTTTGGCTTATATTTTGTAACTCATCTTTCCCAGATTTTTTGCAACTCAATCCCACTTTGCTGATTTTCCAGAAACACCATGTTTCCTTGCCATTCCAGTCACATTCCTCCCTCCAGGCCTTTCCATTTACTGTTCCCTCTGCCTAGAATGTTCTTTTCATTAGACAGTCCTCATGGCTTCTTCCCTCACTTCATTCAGATCTCTTTTATTGAAGAGACATTATTGCTTTCCTTTGTCCTTAGTAATTATCACCATATGACATACGTGTTTATTTCCATGTCTATCCCCACTAGACTATAAGCTCAACAAGAGGAGAAGATTGTCCACATTTCTTCACTGGTATATTCTCAACACTTAGAATAAATTTTCTAGCATGTAACAGGCACTCAACAAATTTTGATGAATGAGTGGATAGGCACAATATAAATTTAAAATGTCATGATATCAACAACCTCCATAAAATTATTTTGGTTTTCTGAAATAATCTTCAAAAGTACCAATACAAAATATGAAACTGAAAAGACCCAGTTAAAGTTAAGTGGCACTCCATGCTTAACTGTAACTGATGTCCAAACAGTTGGATTCTCCTAATTAAAATAAGACACAGGACATGGAATCAAAAGACACTTTCCAGATCTCAAATGTAAGAAATCCCAGCTACTGTGCTAGACCTCTACCATGCGTATCATTTAAATATAAATGAAAACTTCACACACATTTGATTAAATGTCCTCTTGTTAGTTTTAGCTCAGTTTTGCAGCTGCAACTGTTAATTTTCAACAGTTTAGTGAAAACTGAAGAATAAAGCCCACTTTTCAAATGGCATGTTCTTACAGATCGTATAGAGGACTGTCATTCTCATCTCCCAATTGGAGCTTGATTGATTACTCCTTTTCCTTATGTTCATTAATCTCGTCACCTTATCTTTTATACCACTTCATTTTAGCAGAAAGGTAATAATAAAACCCTCATCCATTATCCTTGTACTCATCTAGTCAAGCGGAAATGGTTAATAACATGCTACAAATTGAACTTCAATCACTTCATTTTCTCCTTTGTTGAATACACATTAAAATATATTCCAAAAGTGCAATCTGTTTTACAGGAGAATTTGTGTTATATTGCTACAGACAACTAAAATTAAGTGTTTCTCAGTTTGGTTATTAAATATATCCAAGTGCTCTTTTACCAATAATACTAAAACATTAACTCATTTTATTAGGGTATAATAATACAAGAGCCTTATCTCTTAGAACACAAAGACATCTAGACTACCTAATAGTATGTGTTATATGATAGGGTCATTTATCTTTAAAAAAAAATACCAGTGATAATTTATGAATTGGTATATTATTACAAATGAAATTGCTATTTTTAAAAGTTAATTTGTTTACATGCAACCTTATCTTGAAATGCAAGCCCTATTAGTGAAAAAGTCTATAACTGTCATATAAAACAGAAAGAGAAGAATGGGCATATACATAAAATAGACTCAATGATTTAAGATTTTAAAAGTATAATCACTGAAAGAAATTAAATTTAATATGTAATTAGACTAGAGTTTTCAAAAGAAAAAAGAAAAAATGACTTCTGAAATTACAAAAGATTTTTATGTACATCACAACAATTGTTGAACTGATTTCTAATAGTCTTAAAAATACTGAGAGGAAAAAAACTATCCTTTTGGGAAAAAAGAATTTTCTACTAATGTGGGTAAGTGTCTTCTATCTATTTATAAATGGACATGCTCACCAACTAACTAAAAACTAGACCTACAGCAAATGTTGAAAAACTTAACCAGATAATCAAGGCTTATTGTCTATTATCTTTCTACCATCCTGAAAAAAATGTTCTTCTGAATCTAGATAACAATGTTAGCAACTGACAATATCAATATTTGAGCACCCGAACTCTACTACTTAATAAACCCATCTTTTTTTGTTTGTTTGTTTTTTAATTTTTTTGAGACAGGGTCTCAGTCACCCAGGCTGCAGGGCAGTGGCAAGATCACTGCTCATCACAGCCTCAACTTCCTGGGCTCAAGCAATCCTCCCATCTTAGCCTCTCAGGTAACTAGTCACATGTCACCACATCTGGCTAATTTTTTAATTTTTTTTAAGAGACAGGGTTTCACCATATTGCCCAGGCTGTTCTCTAACTCCTGAGCTCAAGCAATCTGTCTCCTTGGGCTCCCAAAGGCTGGGATTACAGATGTGAGCCATCATGCCCAGCCAAAACCCATTTTTTTTTAATTATTGGGAAAGATACATATATATATCTATTTGCTTACACTGCTGCTGTTGTTGTTTGAAGGGCATGTGTGTCAGCTATCAATTTATCACCTCTTAGTTCCATATTTACCCTTCATTATCTGCTCTGAAGTAATGAACCTGGATACTTTAAGTATTTCTCCTTTGTAGTAGCATGACGTTGTTGAGCTTTTTCAACAGACAGCCCTGGAGGGACGCTGCAGGATGAAAGCAGCTTCTTTCCCCCCATTCCAGTGTGCTCAACTCATCGGGCTTCCTTCCACTCAGACATTAGCTAATGAGTATTAATACTGAGTGCCTGAAATGATATTTTGGCAAGTTTGCCTGACCTAAGAGTCATAGAGATCACAGTGGCTGATAAGTCAATCTCCATTCCACCACCTTCTGTTTTATGGCAGAATGTGCCATAAAACAACCCTACGGCCATCCCATTTGGCTCAGTCATGAAGATGCTGGATTCTATGATCCACAGACCCACATCAAGTATCTCTACCCCAGTCCTTGTCTTTTCCTGTTGTTCAGGATGAATACCATATGTATTTGCCCTGCCTTTCTCAGAAGCAACAAAGGATGAATGATTAAAATGCTGCTTTTAAAAAGTGCATTCCTTTTTATCCATTAAATTGTTTCACTATAAAATATACACATAGATAATATATAATAATTACAATGTTATATTTTATAAGATCATTTAGTCAAGGCCTTGGTTTTTCCAGAATATAGAACAGTAGTATACCAAATGTATACATTATTGTTCACATTTAAGACTTTTTAGTTGTATACATATGTAACTAACCTGCACATTGTGCACATGTACCCTAAAACTTGAAGTATAATAATAATAATAATAATAATAATAATAATAATAATTTTTTTTAAAAAAACACTTTTTAGTACATCATCCAGTATTCCTAATATACAAAGCTACCCTCCTTTTTGCATGATTTACACGTTTTGCTTTAGTGGAAAGTTTTTAAGATACTTGTCATGTTAGGCATGAATTACCTGTCATAGTTACATTATGTTCTCCACAAATAATCCTTCTTTTCTGTAAACTGTACAAAACAAAACAATATTACAAAAACAATAGCCTAAACGTTTTTAGATACTTTTTTCCTACAAAAAGCTGTAAGAACATGCTACTAAGTTTATATTACATATATTACATAGTTCCTTTTAAGGAGACAGGAAGAATTAACATTTAATATTATTTAGCATGTGAAAATTGGAAAGGAATCAATCAATAAGCCTATGTATGCAACAATTTTTGTTTCACCCTCTAAACATTCTTAAACTATATCAGATGCCATTGTCTATAAAAAATGAATTTATCAATTTAATGAGGATTTAGGCAGATTAGTTGCTTAATGAGAACTCCAGCTAATGTGACAGAGGTTTTGTTTCAGTGCTGACAAAATCAGTGTGATAAAACTGTGATTAAACTGATGAGAGTACATTTCTTTTTAAAATCATTATTTCACATAATTAATGTTAAACAGCAATATATAATCATTTAAAAATATTGTTTATACCTTTTATATTTTAATGTTTTTATATTTAGACATAATAGTTTCAATATTTTACAATCCTGAGCCTTCTCCTCTTACCTTTATCTATTGTGTATTATTTTGTTTTGTTTTTTAGAGATAGTGTCTTTCTCTGCTGCCCAGGCTAGAGGGGAGTGGTGCAAGCCTTGCTCACTGAAGCCTCGAACTCTGGGGCTCAAGTGATACTCCCACCTCAGACTCCTAAGTAGCCAGAACTACAGGCCCATGCCACTATGCTTGGCTAATTTTTTTCTTTATTTTTTGTAAAGATGGGGTCTCACTATGTTGCCTAGGCTGGTCCCTAATTCCTGGACTCAAGTGGTTCTCCCACTTTGGCCTCCCAAAGCACTGGGATTACAGGCACAAGCCATGGCAGTCAACCTACTATTCTGTTTAATTGTTTCACTCATTTTTCTTGATTTTCTCTCCTTCTTTGTTCTCTTTCTATATTTACACAAATACATAATATCACCATTTAAATAAATGCAAATTACAATTCACGCAAGAACAGTAATTCCCAATATATTGGCTAAAAGAAAACTCTATTATCAAAAGCTTTCTCCTTAGCTGGGTAATGCTTTGGTTCATAGATTAGAGAACTATCTACCTTAAAACAAAGACTTTTTAAAATTGAAGATAGAAAACATCTGTAAACATTCTACATTTTCCTATGTTGTTTCCTAAATAACCTAAAAGGTCAATAAGAAAGAGATATTTTGTACTATAAAATACTTTCGTTCTTAAGACAAGGGTGCTGTGGCCCATACATTTGCTAGTATTCCTCTTACTGACTCTCAGAGGTGGTGTAGTTAAGAACAGAACTTCGACATGACTAATGGGGGTCAGCAGATATTACGTGTCTCCTCATATGTTCCAATATGAGGCATACATCATCAACTATAGTTCACCTAAAAATATTTACCTTAATATAACCAAGCCTTTACATTTAACTTCCAGCTTAAAGGATTACAAAGTATCTTTTACAATATAAATAACTACTATAAGCAAGTAAATAGATAAGTGCAGAGGTAGGACACTCTACAGAACAAATGCACTGGTCTCCTCAACAAGCCAGTGTTATGAGTAAAGAATTGCTCTGAAATGAAAAAAAGACTTAACAGACAGAACAACCAGATACAATGAGGATTCCCAGATTAAATTCCACTTTGGGCAAAAAAGTTACAAGGGATATTTTTGGAGAAAGAGGACACATTTAAATATTGATTAGGTATGAGATAATATTAAGGACTATTATTAATAATTTCATTAGATAATATTGTTACTTTGGTCTTTGTAGGAAAACATATTGTTTTAAAGACATAGAAAAGTATTTAGGAATGGACTGTTGGGTACCAATTTATTTTAAAACCCTTCAGCATTTCACTTGTGGTAGTGACTGAATTTCAATTGCGGTCGATTTTGGGGCACAAAGGTGGCTTCTGGTGCTGGTAACATTCTGTTTCCTATTCTAGTTGCTGGTTTTATCATTCTGTCCACTCTGCAAAAAGTTAGTGTGTTGTACAATTATGTGCAGTTTTCAGTATATGATGTATTTCCATGAACAGTATAAAACAAACTAATCAGCGTTAAAAAATGTTTACATGAATTAATTTTAAAATGCAACAGCTCTGGATTAAATTGTTTGGTTTTCAATTTTGGCTCTAAGCCTAATCAAGAACACAATCCCATTTATAATAGACACACACACACATAAACAAATGAGGTGAAAGGTCTCCACAAAGAGAACAACATAACATTGTGAAAAGAAATCAGAGATCACACAAACAAATGGAACAACATTCCGTTCTCATGAATTGGAGGAATTAATATCATTAAAATGGCCATACTACCCAAAGCAATTTACACATTCAACACTATTTCTCTCAAACTACCAATGTCATTTTTCACAGAATTAGAAATAACTATTCTAAAATCATATGGAAGCAAAAAAGAGGCTGAATAGCCAAAACAATCCTAAGCAAAAAGAACAAAGCTGGAGGTTTCACATTACCTGACTTCAAACTATACTATAAGACTACAATAACCAAAACAGCATGATACTGGTACAAAAACAGACACATAGACCAATGGAACAGAATAGACAATTCAGAAATAAAGCTGCACACCTACAACAAAAGTTTTAAAAAGTTGACAAAGATAAGCAATGGCGAAAGGACTGCCTATTTAATAAATAGTGCCGGTATAACTGGGTATCCATACACAAAAAATGAAACTGGACCACTGCCTTTCAAAATATACAAAAATTAACTCAAGATAGATGAAAGATTTCAAGGTAAGACCTCAAGCTATAAAAATCCTAAAAGAAAACCTAGGAAGTACCATTCTGGACATTGGCCTTGGCAAAGAACTTACAACCAAGTCCTCAAAAGCAATTGCAACAGCAATGTCAACAAAAAATGACAATTGAGATCTAATTAAAATAAAGAGCTTCTGCACACCAAAAGAAACTATCAACCAAGTAAACAGACAACCCATGGAATGGGAGAAAATATTTGCGAACTATGCATCTGACAAAGGCCTAATATCCAGAATCTATAGGAAACTTCATTCAACAAGCAAAACCCAAAGAACCCCATTAAAAAGTGAACAAAGGACCGGGCACAGTGGCTTACACCTGTAATCCCAGCACTTTGGGAGGCTAAGGCAGGTGGATCACTTGAGGTCAGCAGTTGCTCAGGACCAGCCTGAACAACATGGTGAGACCACCATCTCTACTAAAAATACAAAAATTAGCCAGGCATGGTGGTGCACGCCCGTAGTCCCAGCTATTTGGGAGGCTGAGGCATGAAAATTGCTTGAACCCAGGAGGGGGAGGTTGCAGTGAGCCAAGATCACACCACTGCACTGCAGCCTGGGTGACAGAGCGAGACTCTGTCTCAAAAAAAAAAGCGAACAAAAGACATTGAACAGAAGCTTCTCAAATGTGTCCAATGTGCAACCAACAAATATATTAAAAAGTGCTCAACATCACTAATCATCAGAGAAATTCAATTCAAAACCACAATGAGATACCATCTCACACTAGTCAGAATGGCTATTATTAAAAAGGCAAACAAATAACAGGTGCTGGTGAGGCTGCAGACAAAAGAGAACTTTTATACACTGTTGGTGGAAATGTAAATTCGTTCAGCCACTGTGGAAAGCAGTTTGGAGATTTCTCAAAGAACTGAAAACAGAACTACCATTTGACCCAGCAATCCCATTGCTGGATATATACTCTAAAGAAAATAAATCATTCTACCAAAAAGACACATGCACTGGTATGTTTATTGCAGTACTATTCACAATAGCAAAGACAAGGAATCAACCTAGATGCCCAGCAACAGTGGGGTTGATAAAGGAAATATGGTACATATAGATCATGGAAAACTGCACAGCCATAACAAAGAATAAAATCATGTCCTTTGCAGCAACGTGCATGCAGCTGGAAGCCATCATCCTGAGTGAATTAATGCAGGAACAGAAAACCAAATACCACATGTTCTCATTCATAAATGGGAGTTAAACACTGGGTACATATGGACATACAGATGGGAACAAGAGAGATTAGAGACTACTAAAGGGGGGAGATGGGGAGGGGTAAAAGGGGTGAAAAACTATCTACTGGCCAGGCGCACACCTGTAATCCAATCCCAACACTTTGGGAGGCTGAGGCAGAATGATTGCTTGAGCCCAGGCTCAGTGAGCCAAGATCATGTCACTGCACTCTAGCCGGATTACAGAGTGAGGCCCTGTCTCAAAAAAAAAAAAAAAACAAAAAACTACCTATTGGGTATTATGCTCACTACCTAGGTGACAGGATCATTCCTACCCCAAACCTCAGTGTTATTCAATATTCCCATGTAACAAACCTGCACATGTAGCCTCTGAATCTAAAAGTTAAGGGTTTTAAAAACCTTTAACTTTTTTTTTTTGTTAGACAGAGTCTCATTCTTGTCACCCAGGCTGGAGTGCAGTGGCATGATCTCAGTTCACTGCAACCTCTGCCTCCTGGGTTCAAGCAATTCTCCTGCTTCAGGCTCCCGAGTAGCTGGGACTATGGGCACGCACCACCATGCCCGGCTAATTTTTGTATTTTTAGTAAAGATGGGGTTTCATCATGTTGTTCAGGATGGTCTCAATCTCTTGACGTCGTGATCCGCCCGCTGCGGCCTCCCAAAGTGCTGGGATTACAGGCATAAGCCACAGTGCCCAGCAGTTTGTTTAAATTGAGGCTGTACCATGAACTGGGTAAGTTATTAACAGCCCTGCACCTCAATTTCTTCATCTGAAAAATGTTAGCCATAAAAAATTTTTTACCCCAATTTCTAAACTAGGCTATTCTAAGGTATTTTCTTCTTTCACTTGCCATTTTTTGTGTGTTTATATTACTTTCCTTATTCAGTCCAAAATAGATTTCCAATGCCCTATCTCTAAAAGTTGGAAACATTCTGAAATAAATCTAAACAAGAGTTTTCAATTGAAATTAATACCAGTAGTCTTATAAAGTCGAAAGGAGATTCACAGTATCAACATAGTCTTAAGCGCATCTTAAACAATATATCTGCTCTGAATAGTTACCTGGAAGTGGCAGTGATTGTATGGCCTCACTAGAATCCAACGTAACATATACCAGAATATTATACATTAATTGACCTGAACACTACTCAGTGTGCTAAGTGATCTGGAGAACAGTAACTGAGATACATATACATCTAGAAGTTCACAAAGGGAAGTAGAAAAGGTGTTGCCGAGAAGACTATTCAAGATTACTTTGTCAGTACTGAAACTGTATATTTTATCAGAAATAAAATTCTAGGAATATCTTTTAGAGTATCAGTTCGTTAAACATCAGTAAAGGAATAAAAACATTTATGTACTCACAAATATCGTATTAATATTTGAAAGTTTTTTAATGTTTAGTATTTTATTTTTTAATTTTTATGTATTTATGTCATTTGAAGTATACTGAATAGCTTTTAAATTAAATCATAGCTAACTTACTTTCCGTTATATGTCTTGCTACTTAATAAAGAATATCACAAAATACCTAGGTTTTACGGACATTTTAATAATATAAACTGACCATTATTTTTGCATTCTCGAAAACAGACCATAATACTCTTAGGTAGTATGCTGAACATTTGGGATGGGTTTTTATGGGTGTTGTTGTTGTTGTTGGGAGACGGAGTCTCACTCTGTCACCCAGGCTGAAGTGCAGTGGCGCGATCTCGGCTCACTGCAGCCTCCTAGGTTCAAGCGATTCAAGTAGCTGGCTACAGATGTGCGTCACCACACCCGGCTAATTTTTGTATTTTTAGCAGAGACGGGGTTTCACCATGTTGGCCAGGCTGGTCTTGAACTCCTGACCTCATGTGATCCGCCTGCCTCAGCCTCTCAAAGTGCTGGGTATACAGGCATGAGCCACCAGCGCCCAGCCAACATTTTGAAAAACAATAAAAATGAAGATTTTAAGGCATGCTATTGTTTTACAAAATAGCCTGGCTTAATTTTGTAGTTGTAAAGTAACTCAACAAAAAGCAATTGTAAGAATGTTTATAATACATTCCTTAATAACAATAGCAACTTATACTTTCTTAAAAGTGTTTTTCCTTTATAACTTTCAAAATGTTACTATTACACAACTCAGTGATATACATGTGTCATATAAGTTGGTGCAATTATCTAGCAGAAATACAGCCACAGAAGCTAAGAAGGGCCCTGTGTCAGCAAAATCAACTTTAAAGAACATCTTGCTTAGAAACTAGAGAGCATAAACTCAAAATTTAAAGCTATTTTTGTTGCTGTAAATTTTTAACCATATAGATGCACCATTAAACAGCAAAACTTTTCTGATTTTCAGGATGAATTTTATAATGCTAATATAGAGCAGCGGAAATCATAACCATTACTGTCCTCAAAAAATGGTGGCTTTATCAGTTCTAGGAAAATTTACATATGAGTAACAGAAAACCTAACTAAAAAATGTTGTAGGCAGCTTAGATTCCTTTCTTCTCAAATAACAAAGGTAAACGAAAGTTAGCCAGTTACTGGATTTAGTCAGTTCAATGGCTCAAATAGTATAAAGGCTCGGGGTTCTATTATTTTCTTGGCTTGTTCCACGTATTATGTTTAAGTTCCAGGGAGGAAGAAGGGAAAGGAGAAGGATAAAGACCAAAGAGCATGACTGAGCTGAGTCAGCTCCACCTATAAAAAGGTTTCCCAGAACTCCAACCCAGCTTCTACTTATCTCTTGCTGGCAAAAAATATACCTAATGATCAGTCCTAGCTTCAAGGAAAGCTGGAAAAACTGGGACAGGAGAAGGAGGTTAAGCTGGAACATTGGTTCCTTTCAAAATTCACAGTCCTATCAGTTTTCTTAAAATATATTTCTGAAACTACTGCCATCCAAACTACTTCATATATAACAGTTCTTAAGAACATGCCAAATATAGACATTTCTCCTCTTTGAAAAAACACCTAAGGAAGGAAAATATTAAAAAATAGAATAAATGATTTTTTAAAAGGTATCAATTTCAGAAGTTTAAATACATTTTTATAGTGTCTAGTACCGTTTTATGCTATTTTAATGATTCAACTATATACTATCTACAGAAGACTCACTTTATAATTCATTTATTTTTAGAGACAGGGTCTTGCTCTGTCATTCAGGCTGGAGTGCAGTGGATGCTTCCTTGAACCTCATAGCTCGCTGCAGCCTTGAACTCCTGGGCTCAAGTGATCATCCTGCCTCAGGCAGCAATAGGTGCACACTATCACACCTGGCTAATTTAAAAAAAATTTTTTTTTGTAGAGGCAGTGTCTCGGTATGTTGCCCAACCTGGTCTTGAGCTGGTCTCAAGCAATCCACCTGCCTCGGGAGACTCCATTTAGATTTAAAGACAGAAATACCTTGAAAGTAAATAAATGGAAAAATACTTACAATATTTACTGCATATATTGCATACTAATATGTAAAATTAAGCAATAAAGCATATGTTATGTCTGAATCATGCATTGCATTTTAGAATAGTATTTTAAAATTTATAGTACTTATTAACCAGCTTTTTACTTTTGAAATCAATCTCAAACAAAAATGGGTTCATTGCCTCACAAGTGTCTCTAAACCTTGCTCCTCCCCTATCCTCTGGTTTCCTGCAGGCAGGCAGTATAACCAATGGGTAAGAGCATGAATTCTGGAATTGGACTACCTGGGTTCAAAACTAGCTCTAGCAATGCTGGGCAAACTAATTAATTTCTCTTAGCTCATTCAGCTATAAAACAGAAATAATAATTGTAAGAATTAAATGAGTTAATGTATATAAAACTTACAGCATATCACACATTAAAAGTGTCATTTCTTGTTATTGTTATGACCTTTTCCTTCATTTGTGATACATGTATTAAGCACTTACCATATACCAGACATTGTGCTAAATATTAGAAATTTGGGTATTTGGGTTATGACCAAATCAGACATAAACTCTGTCTTGCACATATCAAAAATATTAAACATGATTTTACCACCTTTTTATTACTATAAAAAGTGAATACTGAATTTGTTTTCTGCAGCTAACGAGAAGAAATCAATAAAGGAAAGTTAATATAAACACAAAGCAATGAAAATATTTATAAGGCATTGATGATGCTAGCCAGTTCCTGCTTCCTGTAACACCTAGCTATGAATGTTCTTAAAAGACAAATCCAGAATCGAAAAACAAACTCAATGATTTAAAATCACCCAATCTTCAGAATTTCTATTCCATATAATTATGAATCTGATAATGACACATCCATAATCATACAAAAAAATTTTAAGGTTTCATAGCAAACTTCAAGAAAATTTTAGATAGTCTGGTGGTACTAAAAAATTAGACCAAAATAATTTTATAATGAGGCTTAACATTAAAATACAAAAATGCAAATAAATTGCCATCTTTATTACCAAAAACATAAGTGTCCCAAAATTCACCAGTCCCCCACAAAAAACTAGAACACATATTTATTAACTCAAGGGGCTTTGCTAATTATGTAAATGTCTATCTTTTCTACATGTAATTTCATTCAAACTTCCTCTCTTTCCCCCAATTAACGATCCTGCCAAATGTTGGGACTTGAAAAGGCCACAGCTTTATACACAATTAACAGTCAAATTCTAACACAAATTACATGTCATTCTTATCTCTGTATACACATTGAACTCCTATATCTTGTTGCCAAGAGGGAGCTTGCACTAGGGAATACATCCTGAATTTGTTTAATGTCCAGGAATAACATTTCACACTTAGAAAGGAGATACTATCCACTGCCAGCTATGTGAACTGAAATTTGCCATGTCCTATCCTTTTCATTTTGTTCAAATAGGTAGTTTAGAAAATGAGTAACTATCCACTTATCTGTTTTAACCAAATATTTTCTTGACGCAGAAGAGGCAATCATGATCTTTGGTTTTCTTTAGACACTTTTTAGGATGATTACAGAAACTTTTATGAATGGTAAACTTATTTTCTGAATAGAAATTGGGGAACTATCATTTGACACATAATCTCACTACCAGAAAAAATATTTGCAATTGGATCAATCCCAGAAAATTAGATTTACATATATGGTCATTATATTTATGATTGCTTCCCGAGAAAAGGTTTCAACAGCAGCAACACTAGAAATAACCAATTTCTTATTCAGTAAGTATATGAGACAATCATCACATCAAAATAGTCAGACATGTCCCAATCTTTTGAAGTATAGCATTTTATTACCAAAGTACCTCAACAAATACCAGTCATTTACATACTAAAAGGGCAACTAAAATATATTTTATATATATTAATATGTACATGTTATGACCTAAAGTTATGAAAGCTTGTAAAACACAGCACTTTTAGAATACAAACATCCCCAAATTAAACTTTTAAAGAAACAAATCTGATTGGGTTTAGTTACTAGCTTACTGCTCTTCAGTAGTCTCCACTGTCCTTAGAATAGTATCAACTGGCATTTGTCTACCTGTCCAGCTTTGCCTCCTACAATCTGCTTACTAAACCCTCAGCTCCAAACATAATTCTTCCTTTCTTTTTTTTTTTTTCTTTCAAGACAGAGTCTCAATCTGTTGCCCAGACTGGAGTGCAGTGGTACGATCTCGGCTCACTGCAACCTCCTCCTCCTGGGTTCCAGTGATTCTCATGCCTCAGTCTCCTGAGTAGCTGAGATTACAGGTGCATGCCACCATGCCCAGCTAATTTTTGTATTTTTAGTAGTGACGGAGTTTTGCCATGTTGGCCAGGCTGGTCTCAAACCCCTGACCTCCAGTGATACACCCACCTTGGCCTCCCATACCATAATTCTTTCTATTCCTCCATCTCAACAAACTATCTCTTTAAACTGACATTTACCCTAAGCCTGGAATACAATAACCGCTCATCTTTCAGTTCACACTTCAAATGTCGTTTCCTCAATGAAGCCTTCCTTTAATTCCCTTCTCCTATCCCTGACCCCCAAATAGATTCAGTGCCCAGATATACATTTCCATGCTACTCCACACTTCCTTGCCACAGCAATTTCTACAGTATATTGAAGCTTGTTGTTCACCCCCTGTTGGCATGTAAGCTCTGTAACATTAAGAAAAACCATGTTTGTCTTGCTCACTATTGAATTCCCAAGGTCTAAACATATGGGCCTGACCCTCACACCCTCATTTGATTTCTAAAATTGGGCTTACATATATCAAATTAAGGCAGGGCTCATATGCATTGCAACATTCAGTTAAAATACTCTCTTCCATCGTTATAAATTCCTTCATATGAATATAAAATGTTCTGATAACCAAAACAAACAAGAAAAAGTGAAAAAATTGCAATTTGTTTCTACACTGCCTTCAGTTTCATGTGGTGAATCTGGAGTCAGAACCCTAGATTTGACTTCAGATTGTATCGCCTGTTACCTATATGATGATGTGAAGTGCTTAACATCACAAAGCCTCATATTCCTCTTCTGTAAAATAGAAAATATTAATGCTTGTCCCACAAACCTTAAAGAGCTGGGATCTATTAATAAAATTATGCTCATGAAAGCCTTTAAAAACGATGAAGCATTTCATAATAAAATGAATTAACATCTTTGTTATTAATACCATAATCAAGGTAATCTCAGTTAAAAATAATGCATACAAATTATTTCAGAAAAACTTTGGCATATATATGAGCTAGAATGTACTAGTTAAAATAAATACAAAAGTTTAACCTCAAAAGAAGATTACAAATCAATTGTAAAATACATTCCAATATTCTAAGATATTGTTGCTACAATCTCAGAAAATTTTACTCCTGAAATTTCATATCCTTCGTGATATCTGAAACCTATCAGTTAAATTCATTATTAATTCTTTTATTTTACTTATTGCACTTTAGAATCCCATCCAGGGAATCTGTTATTATTCTGAGACCACAATCATAATTCTTTTTAAAATAAAAATGTGAACATTAAGCTTAAAAAAAATAATTCGCAACTTAACTCTGTGGTAAACAGGTGAACAAAACAACAATTATATAATATCTAAAACCATTTTATGCTTTAAAAATAGGTTTATATGTACTGAATACTGGCTAAGATAGGAAATATTTGATTTCAAATTTGTTAAGAATTTAAAGACATAAAAAGTTAGATTAGAAGTTATCTTAAAACAACAATAAGGTAGTCATTAAAAACATGATCAAACAAGAAAACAATTTCTTTTAACTCATGCTAGGAAAGTTATTCAATATTCTATTACTTATTAGAGTAAAAATAATCTTGGTCTTTGATTTTTGAGTGTTAAAAAACCAAACTTTTCCAAAATTCAACTTCTGATGCAACAGCTAATTCAGAAAAGAAAAAGTTTTTTTTTTTCTTTTTCCTATCCATTTGGGCTACATGATTCTAAAATTACAGGTATAGTCACAAAGAGCATATGCTTCCCCCAAAGCTCTGAAGGCATGTAAGAAACTACTGTAGTTAAAGCTTGAACAAGCAAGTCTTTTTTAATCCACATTTTTCATATAGAAGAAAGATTTGTGTATTTTGCAAAAGTAATGCTATTGCGATATTACGACTTTGAACTAAAGCTCTAAAATCATACTATTCAACTAAAGGTTTCTTTAGCAATATTAACATGGCCACGCTGCACATGTTACTTTTAGCTTCTTTGTGTACAACAAACTGCATTCAATTGGTGAACAAATACAATGTTTAGTATCATATTTAAAACCACTATTCAAACCTTTTCTTAATGCTGTTATCAGTTTTCCTTTTGCAACAATTTTGTGTATAAAAATAAAAGCACTGGATTTTTATTAGCGCTGCCCCTTCTTTGTTTTGCTCCACTCTGCAAAGCCCTTTTGGGACACTAAGCCTGCATTTACCATAATACGGATTAAACTTTCTTTGTCCCATTGCACAAGGTTTGTTAGCAGGTTAGTCTTTTTACACTTTTCACAGGCTGCCTGCAGCTTACCCTTTAGGCCTCACTCAAAATACTTCTGTGGATTTACAAAAATACCAGAGTGGTCTTGGGGTTAATTGGAAGATAAGTGCAGTCTTTAACATAGAGACTCATTAAACATTTAGCCTTACCACAATCCACTATCCTTGAAAGAGAAAAGTTCTAGAGACACTTTAGGAATAATAACACAGTAAAATTGTTTTAAAAAATGACGATTAGTTGTTTCACAGACTTGGAAAAACTTCATTTAACTACCCCAAAGGTGATATAGTAGAACAAAGCAATGTCCCTGGTCAGCTCTCTACATTGGTTTTAATATGCATTGATCATAGAGGAAAATTGAACAGATTTTCTAAGGAACTAAAAGGCAAAATCTTCCAACCTTCTGTTGGGAAATTTAAAGTAAAAACTCAACTGATGGGTTATGACAGATAATATTTATTTGTAAACAAAACATATTTAATTCTAACAGTTTAACTTTGTTGATTTAAATTTTACCCAAGTAAATCACATCAAACATGTCTATTAGAGCCAAATGAAAAATTTATAAAATTCACCCAAAAAACTTAGAAAGTATTTAAAAATTTAAGTTCCTTCTTTAATTTCTAAAATACATACATATACACAAATATACACACTTAAAATGAAATCTGAAACCTACTCATTGGTATTAGGTTATTTTTTAGAATTATGCAAGCAGATTGTTAAACAGATTAACTTTTCCATCCCCTTACCTCCTTCCAACACTATTACTCCCACACAAAAAGGAAAAAAGAAAAAGAAAAATGCGACAAAACACACAGACACTTGAAGTAAAGGATTAGACATATTTGCCCAAGATGCAGATAACAAAAGCAAAAGTGAAGAAAATTGAAGAGACAGCCAAACTTCAGCAACAAAATGGTTAAAGAATCTGAAGTATTGTTCCCGTTATTCTTAAAGTCTGCTATATTGTAGACAGCGCAAACATCAGACAAGTTAAGATTACTGACCATTATCTCCTTAATTTTCTCCGCTTTCCCTCACATTCCCTCTTGCTATCTGGGCACCATTTTTCTAAAGCTTTATTTCTGGTAAGAAGTAAACTTTCCCTAATCCATCTATTATGGAACCTTTAATTGGATTGGGAGCAGGGTGGTGTATAAAATAGCCCCTATTCACTCAAAAGGACTGTAGTTTTAGAGACTTAAAGGAGAAAGGTATTGTGAAACAAAATCCTCAGGGAATCAAGGATTAAAATGTGGCTCTCCTAAATTCATCAACTCCAGGACACAAATGAATTGCTTCCTTAAACAGGTAACTTTCCAAATACATGGCATAGCAAAACTGAAATTAAAATTATAATTTTACTTTAAGGAAAATAATGCATTTACACTAATAATTTTTCGCTTTATAAATGACTTTTACTTGCTGTTTCTTCAACTCAGAATTACAATGCCAGGGAACAAATGGAATGCCTTAAACATATTTATTTATATTTTCTCTACATACATATTTTCCCTGTAAAGTAAGGAGAAAAGCAAAAGAATATGCTTTAATCAATTAAGTCCTGTACGTTATATTTGTGCAGCCTTAAAGCAGCAAGCACTGCCATAATACAAACATTTTTTTCAAAGTAAAAATACATTTCGTTCTTATCAGATAGTGTCAGATACATAATAATCAGCAGTCACTCTTCTTCCCTCAATCAGTTATCCTCTCTGTTTTCTTCATAAACATCCCCAAACCACTCTTTGTTAGGCTGTAGTACTTTTGTCTTCTGTCCCGCCACAGTGCACACCCAACTATTTGGGATGTCTTCAACAGTAAGATGAGGATACAGCTCATACTCAGTTATTCTCTTACTGAATTAAATATATTTAAAGTGCCAAACCTGCTATCTAAAGTAAAATGAAATCCAGAATGTATCTACCAACTCTAAATTAATCTCGCAAATGTCTACATACTCTACCAAAACAATAGGAAACTGAGGAAGAGAAATGTTAGGAGAGTTCAAGATTCTAATGTAACACTTAACTCTGCATAGTTTACTAGTCTATATTAAAATATAAAAATACATCAATATTAGTTATTTACCTAATGGTGCTGTTAAAAACAGATTTAAAAAAAAATTTAAGAAATGCAATTAATTTTAAGAAAACCCTCAAAGTATCCCCTCTGTTTTGGAACCTGTATCACAACTCAATAAGTGCTACTTATTATTGATTGAACCCTTACTAATTGTCTGACATTGTGCTAACTGCTATTACATGAATTATCTCATTTTATTCTCTCAACAATTGTATGAGGTAGTTGCTATTACCTGTTTTTCCACAAATGAGGAAGCTAAGTTTTTAAAATTTCAATTAAATTGTCCAAGGTTACATAGCTGCAAAGAAAATAAGCTCTGTGAAAGCTTTTCATTACTATATTATAAATGTTTAGTATAAGAAAGCAGGCTCATTTGCCAAAGTCAATCTGCCAAAAAATAAATGTGCCTAAATTATCAAAATCACCTATGTTCCAACCGTAAATATTTAAAGAATATTCTTCTTGAATGTATTAAATCTATAACTATATTCTTCTAATGAATATATTCTAAGATATATTTAATACTTTTTAAGCAACATTTTAAGAACCACTGTTTTTCAAAACTAAAGTCATCATAGGGTAGCTCTGTCCTATTACCAATATAACTAAAATTTTAATGTTTCATATGACATTTTTTAGTTCGTACTGATTTCTATTTGTATATTTTTTCTATTTTTCTAACATTCTGTCATGTAGAATAATTGTTGCTTTATTTTATTTTATTTTATTTTATTTTTTTATTTTTTTTTAGATGGAGTCTCGCTCTGTTGCCTATGCTGCAGTGCAGTGGCACTATCTCGGCTCACTGCAAGCTCCGCCTCCCGGGTTCACACCATTCTCCTGCCTCAGCCTCCCGAGTAGCTGGGACTACAGGTGCCCGTCACCACGCCCGGCTAATTTTTTGTATTTTTAGTAGAGACAGGGTTTCACCGTGTTAGCCAGGATGGTCTCGAACTCCTGACCTCATGATCTGCCCGCCTCGGCCTCCCAAAATGCTGGGATTACAGGCATGAGCCACTGCACCCAGCCTCATTTGTCACTTTTACCTATTTATAAAGTATTATATCAGTTGAGAATTATTTTAATACTTTTCAAAGTGTATGAAGTCTTATTTGAACAGTTTTCATCTTGTTTTCATAACAACCTTGGAGGGAACCTCCATTTGTCTGTCCCAAATCACTACAGTTGAAGCTGAAGAAAGCTTTTTTAGAGGAAAGATGGAAAAGAAAGCAAATATTCCAGGGAGAGATTCTGATTCCTGAAAGTATTAGGAATGAGTATCAGGGTTGAGTACTAAATGGCACTATCAGAGAAAGAAGATGAGGGAACTACGAATCCTGGCCATAGGTTTCATAGTCTCTTAGGCCACACCTCTTAGGCTCTTTTAACCCATACAACACATAGTGTGTAAATAAAAAAATACAAACTAGTTTAGGGTAATTTTAATATAGCAGAGAATTCATTTTCTGTAAATTTAGCTCATTAGTTTTAGCAAATTCCTAGCACAATGGCATGCATATTTAGTAGGGCATTAAAAATATGTGTGGAATGGATATATTAAAATTTTATGTAAAGTAAAACTTTAAACACTGTATTTTGATTTCAAAAATAATCTTTAATTGGTCAGTTAAAGTATTTTAAATAAATATATTTTTAAAGATAACATGAACATGCATGCTCCACTTTAGGGGTAGCTAAAACAACACCCCAAAACAACCTCATACTAAAGGATTATTGAATTTTACATTTAAAAAAGAGCAACTATAGGGAAAGAACCAAAAATGGATCTAGGAAAATTACAAAATACAGCAAGTATCTTAAAAATGATTTAATTATTAAAGCATATTTAGAATACAAATGAGTATTTACTATTTTGAGAGCCCATTAAAATTAAGATACCCAACTATTCTTTTTCTCTGATGCCATTTTACTAATAGCTAAGTGTGTATATAAATATCTCAGTCACTGGTATGTAAATGTCATAATAAAGTGTAATGTATTTCATCACATTCTATCTGCACTTATGCTTCCTTATGACTTCAGCTAAGTTTCTACACACAGTGGTTTAGTTTTAAATGGTTGTCCCCAAAATATGATGAGTTAGAAATTATCTTGCATTTGTGTGCTCATTCATAATAAATCACTGTTTTTAGGCCTCAAATAACATCAGGTCTCTATTTGCTGCTTAGTAAGAGGCAACTAACATTTCACGGAAAATAGTTCTTTAACTAAAAGATTATATCAGGGCTTCCTCATATAAGATTACTCAAATTTTGTATAACATTGGATCTCTGTTGTGTTATAAAATATTTGGTACAAAACAAACTGCTATGGTTTGACCATATCCCCCAAAGTTCATGTGTTGGAAACTGAATCCCCATTTTAACAGTGTTGAGAGGTGGGGCCTTTGGGAGTGACTGGGTTATGAGGGCTCTGCCTTCATAAATGGATTAATGTGATTATTGCTAGGGAGTGTTAATTATCACAAGAGTGAGTTCCTCATAAAAGAATGGAGCTTAGACCCCTCTTGCTCTCTCTGTCTCACATGCTCACTTGGTCTTCTGCCCTGGGATGACTCTCACCAGGTACTGGCACCATGCTCTTAGATTTCCTGCCTCCAAAAGCATGAGCCAAATAAATTCTATTCTTTATAAATTACTAGTCTCTGGTATTCTGTAATAGCAGCAGAGAATGGATTAAAAAACTAATGAAATGAATATGTAAATTAGCATATAAATATATCAACTTGTGTATGGATAAACATATTCAACGACAGCTACATAAAAAAGACTAAAAAGCAGGAGTGGTGGCTCACACCTGTAATCTTAGCATTTTGGGAGGCTGAGGTAGGTAGATCACTTGAGCCCAAGAGTCTGAGACCAGCCTGGGCAACATAGTGAAATCCTGTCTCTACAAAAAACACAAAAATTAGCCAGGAGTGGTGGAACATGCCTGTAGTCCCAGCTACTCAGGGGAGGATCACTAAAACCAGAGAGGTCAAGGCTGCAGTAAGCCATGATCATGTCACTGCACTCCAGCCTGGGTGACAGAGCAAGACCCTGTCTCAAAAAATAAAAAAAAAAGCAAAAAGCTTAGGAATACACCCTGATTGAAATATATGATACTCATAAGTTATACATGAGAGAGCCATTTTAAACCACTAATGAAAATGACTGTTAAGTCCCATAGAAAAGTCTATTAAAATATATGTATGTGTATATATATTTTTTACACACACACGGATATACATATAATTTCTTACATCATACTTACCCTTTAGAATAGCAGTCCTCAATCATTTTGGCACCAGAAACTGATTTCGTGGAAGACAATTTTTCCACAGACCAAAGTGGGGTGGGGGGTAGGAGGTATGATTTTAGGATGAAACTCTTCCGACTCAGATCGTCTGACATTAGAGTCTCATAAGGAGCACGCAACCTAGTTCCCTCATATGCACAGTACACAATAAGGTTCGCACCCCTATGAAAATCTAATGCCACAGCTGATCTGACAGGAGGCAGAGCTCAGGTGGTAATACTCCCTCACCTGGCACTCCTCTCCTGCTATGTGGCCCAGTTCCTGACAGGGAAACTGGGTAGGGAACCCCTGCCTTAGAAGACAGAATACAAAAATACAGTTTATGCCAAGATCCAAAAAATAGTCAAGTCAGAAAGTTAAGAATATTATACTTTTCATACCAATAACCATATCCTGTACAATTCTCCTGTACAGGAGTGTATCTTGTACAATTTCTCAAAAGAAGACATTTATGCAGCCAAAAGACACATGAAAAAATGCTCACCATCACTGGCCATCAGGGAAATGCAAATCAAAACCACAATGAGATACCATCTCACACCAGTTAGAATGGCAATCATTAAAAAGTCAGGAAACAACAGGTGTTGGAGAGGATGTGGAGAAACAGGAACACTTTTACACTGTTGGTGGGAGTGTGAACTAGTTCAACCACTGTGGAAGACAGGGTGGTGATTCCTCAAGGATCTAGAACTAGAAATACCATTTGACCCAGCCATCCCATTACTGGGTATATAACCAAAGGATTATAAATCATGCTGATATAAAGACACATGCACACGTATGTTTACTGCGGCACTACTCACAATAGTAAAGACTTGGAACCAACCCAAATGTCCATCAATGATAGACTGGATTAAAAAAATGTGGCAGCTGGGCATGGTGGCTCAAGCCTGTAATCCCAGCACTTTGGGAGGCTGAGGCGGGCAGATCACGAGGTCAGGAGATCGAGACCATCCTGGATAGCACGGTGAAACCCCGTCTCTACTAAAAATACAAAAAAATAGCCTGGCATGGTGGCAGGCGCCTGTAGTCTCAGCTACTTGGGAGGCTGAGGCAGGAGAATGGCATGAACCCGGGAAACGGAGCTTGCAGTGAGCCGAGATCATGCCACTGCACTCCAGCCTGGGCGACAGAGCGAGGCTCTGTCTCAAAAAAAAAAAGAAAAAAAGAAAAAAAAGAAAATGTGGCACATATACACTATGGAATATTATGCAGTCATAAAAAAGGATGAGTTCATGTCATTTGTAGGGACATGGATGAAGCTGGAAACCATCATTCTCAGCAAACTATCGCAAGGACAGAAAACCAAACACTGCATGTTCTCACTCATAGGTGGGAATTGAACAATGAGAACACTTGGACACAGGGAGGGGAACATCACACACCAGGGCCTGTCGTGGGGTGGGGGGAAGGGAGAGGGATAGCATTAGGAGATATACCTAATGTAAATGACGAGTTACTGGGTGCAGCACACCAACATGGCACATGTGTACATATGTAACAAACCTGCATGTTGTGCACATGTACCCTAGAACTTAAAGTACAAAAAGAAAAAAAAAATAACACTCCCTCACCTGGCACTCCTCTCCTGCTGTGCAGCCCAGTTCCTAACAGGGAAACTGGGTTGGGAACCCTTGCCTTAGAAGACAGAATACAAAAATACAATTTATGCCAAGATCCAAAAAATTGTCAAGTCAGAAAGTTAAGAATATCATACTTTTCATACCAATAACCATATCCTGTACAATTACACACAGACAGATGGGGGGTAGAAGGAGTCAAATCCCACTTCTGACACCAGATTGTGTCAACCTAAAAATAGACACTAGAGAAATTTGTCTCCAAATATGTTGAGTTTGTTTGGGAATGACAAATGAGGATTATGACATAGAATGGCAAGCCACCGGTGCATCTGGTGAGAGAAGGGTAAAGGGAAGCTTTTATTAGCCCAAAGAGATTCAAGTAAACTACTTAGAAACAGAGTTCACTGGTTCCAGAGGCTTAAAGTCAGAGTTATCATCAGTTCATTGGTGAAGCTGCTATTACTGGTCAAGGGTTCATTTAAGAGCATCTTCTCTGAATTGCTATAGTTCTAAAGGATGTCTAGTGATAAACCTTGCCAAAACTAGTGAGAAACCTTGCTAAAGCAGGAGATACATGCAGGACATGAAGGAGTTTCTTGTGGGATTTCTAGAAAGTCCTTGGAAATCATTCTTATCTCAGATATATAAGCAAGAGCCTCCTCTCCTTTCTGCCTTCCTGTACCAATTTTGCCAGGGTCTGACAAAATTGATTTCATCCCCATATCTGTAACTTTCACAGGGGAAAGAGGGGTAAGATAGTTAAATTAAACAGAGTCCCTCAAAAATCACCCTTCCTTTCTTCCCCTTAATTTCAAAGAGCCAATTTACTTTACATGTTGGATACTGCGCTGGAGCAAGAAGGTAAAACCAGGAAGTAGGATCAGAGAGACAAGAGTTACTAAGCCAGGACAGAAATCAGAAACCAAAATGTAATAATCTGCTAGAGAATTAGGCCATAAGGAATATCTGTTATTTTGCTTATTATCTGTAAGAAGAAATAAAATTATAGCACAGTGATGAAAGCACAGTGAAGAGAAACCCTAAAATGTTTTTAGTAAAAGAATGATAAATGAAAATTGACAATAAAGAATCAATCACAACTAAAGTATAGAAAGATGCTAATATTTCTTTATTTTACAAGCTTCATCAATATATATTAGTAAATATAATAATAATCAAAAGGGCTTTTATAGACTCCTTTCTGACCTCATTTCTGCTTACTTTTTCCAAAATAATCTTAAATTCTTCAACAAAACATTCTATTACCAAGGAGGCTTTTCAGGAATGTTATCTTTAGTATAAGGTATTACTAATCCTTCTTAATGATGTTCTATGCCACTTATAAAAAACTCATTAGGATGGCAAACAAAACAGCCTTTTGTTACATTAAACTCAGTGTTTAAGGAAAATAGTTACATATTCATTCATTCAAAAAATAAGTATTTTTTGGAAAGCCTAGAGATACAGAAATCAACAACAAAAAGCTGGGGGAAGGAAGGATACGATAGTTGTAAGGGTTAGATAACTACTATAAATCTGTTTCAATATGTACCTTTAGCAGTAATATTTATAGAAAATAAGATTCAAAGGCCCTTAAAATATCTAGGGTTACTCTTTAAACAAGGGGAGGAAGGAATCTGAAAACAGGTGACTCCAATATCAATTCTTTCCATCAACTCTAGGTCTTGTGGTGAACACTTCAGTTGTTTAATTGTATAAAGAAATGCTATCACCCACACACATATAATACTACAATGCTACTACCTATCCTCAAATTGTATATTCTACTATTTACTTAAAACACAGTAGACCTTAAGACTATTCTGTTCAACCCATAACAATTCAAATCTACAATCAAGTTTTAGTAAAGACAGCATACTTGCAGCTAATCTATATTCATAAACGACACTACTATGCTAGCTCATCAAGTATAAAGAATTAAAAACAATTATATCTTACAATACAAACAGAATTGGCTGGGTGCACGCCTGTAATCCCAGCACTTTGGGAGGCCAAGGTGGGCGGATCACAAGGTCAAGAGATCGAGACCATCCTGGCCAACATGGTGAAACGCCATCTCTACTAAAAATACAAAAAAATTAGCTGGGCATGGTGGCGCACGCCTGTAGTCTCAGCTACTTGGGAGGCTAAGGCAGGAGAATCACTTGAACCCAGCAGGCAGAGCTTGCAGTGAGCCAAGATCGCACCACTGCACTCCAGCCTGGGTAACAGAGTGAGACTCTGTCTTATAAAAACACACACACACACACACACACACACACACAAACAAATAGAATCTAAAAATATTCTCTTTTTTTGAGACAGGGTCTTCCTTTGTCACCCAGGCTGGTGTGCAGTGGTGCAATCGCGGCTCACTGCAGCCTTAATCTCCTGGGTCCAGCCAATCCTCCCAAGTCAGTAGCCCAAGTAGCTACACAGCAGGAGCACACCACTATGCCTGGTTAATTCTGTTCATTTTTTATAGAGATGAGATACTGTTATGTTGTCTGGGATGGTCACTAATTCTTGGGTTCAAGAGATCCTCATGCCTCAATCTCCCAAAGTGCTGGGACTACAGGTATGAGCCACTGTGCTCAGCCTAGAATCTAAAAATATTCTAGCAAAATATATAAAAAATAAATAAAATAAAAATTTTATGGGACCTGAAAAATGAATATGGAGAAGCCAAATAAACATGCTCTCCAATAGCTTTTAATACAGTTAACACTTATTTTTATACATTTGTTCTAAATATTCAAAAAACTAAATTTAAAAACTATCTGATGGATGGTAATCAAAAACATTTTTGTTTGAAAACAAATCATATTTTAAACAGCAACTATGTTTGAAGTTTAATATATTCAAACATTTGATTATATGGTTAATGTCTAAAGCTCTACGAGGAACCAAATCAGAGCTATTCTTACTTATTGCTGTAATCTCAGCATCCTACATAGTTGGCATACTGGCAGATAATCAAAAGTGTTTGTGAAATGAATAATTATATACATAGTTACACAGAATGTGAATACCTTATTAGCCTATTTACTTATTTATTTTAGTGCCATAACTCCAATCTCTTTACTTAAAAGCTCATTGATTGCTTCTGCATTAAATGTGAACCTTCTAACATTACAATTTTCCCTATGAAATAAGCATAATATTACTTATAAATTATACAAATACTGTGAAAATGCAGATTGACATATTATATAGTTTGGATTTTGAAAAGACATCTTTATGCATGCACAAATGCAATTTGTCATTAAATTTACAAATGTTGTGGTGTATAAATTGGATACTTCTTCCTAAATGTCTTGCAATGTTTTAATATCAATGTGACAGCAAAATCTGCAATCAAAACAAGGCCTACAAGGAAAATGCAACCTTTTTAAAAATATGTAGCTGAATAACAAGATGTCGCAAAAATAGGGCTGCCACAATTACCAAAGAAAGATAATTAAAAGGACGTTTGTTATGTGCTGTGTTTCACCCGGTACCCACATCTTGGTTTCTAATAGCATTCTTCACTGAAAAGAATTAAGGCTCTCCAAAGTAATAGCTGATTCTAGAGCTGCAGAAGGGAAGCTACAAGATGAGCCTTGAGCCTCTTGCCATGTCAGAAAGTCAGAAAGTGCTCAAGAAAATGAAGGGGTAAGTAAAAAAAACATAAGAACAAGCTTGAAAGGCTTCCCACTGGCCCAATCTGGAAGAATTTGAGCATTAAAGTAATTATGACCACCAGTGAATTATTAACCATTGAAAATAAGAAAAATTCATGAGTCCATAGCAATAATAGATGGATAAATACATGGGGAATGCAGAAGTGTATAAAGTTAAGGCATAATGTCAACTGATAAAGATGGAAGAAGACGCGATATGGGAAAATAATCATTTTATAACCATCATCACTGTAGAGATTAATACAGGGAAGAACTGTTAAGCGGACTCCATATTTCATTCAGATTTCATCAGTTTTTCTCTCAAGCTTTTTTTTTTTTTTCTTGTCCCAAGATCCCATCCAAGACACCACATTATATTTAGTCTTGATGTCTCCTTAGGCTTCTCTGGATTTTAATGGTTTTTAAGACTTTTCGTGGTTTTGATGACCTTTGACAGCTTTAAAGAGTACTGACCAGGGCATTTGTAGAATTCCCCTCAATTTGGATTTGTCTGATGTTCTCATGGTTAGAATGGGGTTACAGGTTTTAGGAAGGAAGTCCACAGAGGTATAGTGCCATCCGCATCACATCATATCATATCATAGCTACATGCTATCAACGTGTTTTGTCACTGATATTAGCCTTAATTACCTGGTTGAAGTAGCATTTCTCAGGGGTTTCCACTGTATAGTTATTTTAGTTATTTCCTGCTGCTCTGTTCCATACTGTACCCTTTGTTTTTTTGTTTGTTTTGAGACAGTCTCACTCTGTCACCCAGGCTGGAGTGTAGTGGCGCAATCTTGGCTCACTGCAACCTCCACCTCCCAGGTTCAAGTGATTCTCATGTCTCAGCACCCTGAGTAGCTGGAATTACAGGCACATACCACCATAACCAGCTAATTTTTGTTATTTTTAGTAGAGATGGGTTTTTGCCACATTGGCCAGGCTGGTCTCCAACTCCTAACCTCAAATGATCCACCTGCCTTGGCCTCCCAAAGTGCTAGAATTACAGACATGAGCCACAGCGCCCGGCCCCATATTGCACTCTTTGGAAGCAAGCCACTAAGCAGAGCCCACACTTAGCAGGTGGGGAGTAATGGTCCATTTCTTTTGGGGGGAGTATCTACATAAATTATTTAGACTCCTTCTATAAGGGAGATTTAACTCTTCTCTCCCCTACTAATTTATTTAGCTATTTATTTCAGTATGGACTCCTATTTACTTCATACTTTAGGTTATAAACCAAAACTAAGTTATTTATTTTGTTGTTCAAATTATTTTGACTTTGACTATTGAGAGCTCTTTCATTTGGCTCTTGTGTCCCTTTGACCTAATCCCATTATTCTATTCTTCGGACACTTATGTATGTTCTGGCACTATAATATGCTCCAGGCTCATCTTGTGTAGTGTTGGCCTCAGCAACAGATTCAACCATTTCTCTGGGGAGTCCTGGGTTCCTTTTATTGGAGCATGGTATTAGAAACTAAGACCTGGGCATTGAGTATTCTCATTGCTACTGGAGTGTCATTACTTCTAGACACCCTGGTGAACAAAGCTAATAAATGTATGCATATATACCAATCCATGTATACACACCTATTCTTTATTTTTCTATGTATCCATTTGTATTTATATTAAGCTAAATATGATTTAAGACTCTGACTCTAATCTAGTACCACATGATTTATTCTAGCCTTCAGGGAGGCAATTTTGATGAGAAGCAGGATATTCGCATGGTATCATTAAAGGCTGCTTAATAATTACAAAGGAAAAAATAATACATAGACTAGCAATATCAGACAACATACTGACTGGCTGATCAAAATATCACCATTGAAGGGCAGGTAGACATCCTGTGCCTCTGTAAGTGAAACTCTCAGACAGACATATCACTTACATAGTATAACAACTAGACGTATAACCTGAATCCAATCATAAGGAAACATCGCACAAATCCAAATGAAGACTATTCTGTTAAAAAAAGGAGAGAACTACATTCTTCAAAATTGGCAATGTCAAGAAAGACAAAGATAGCCTGAAGAATTGTTTCAGATTTAGTCAGACTAAAGAAATATCTAATTCTAAACTAGATTATCTACTAGAAGTTAAAAATATTGGCAGGGCATGGTGGCTCATGCCTGTAATCCCAGCACGTTGGGAGGCCAAGGCGGGTGGATCATGAGGTCAAGAGATTGAGACCATCCTGGCCAACATGGTGAAACCCCGTCTCTACTAAAAATACAAAAATTAGCTGGGTGTGGTGGTGCATGCTGGTAGTCCCAGCTACTCAGGAGGTTGAGGCAGGAGAATCGCTTGAACCCGGGAGGTGGAGGTTGCAGTGAGACTCCATCTCAAAAAAATATATATACATTATATATAAGATAAATATATATATTTATATAAATATATAAATATATAAATATTTATAATATATAATGTATATTTATATATTGTATTATTTTATAATATATATTTATATAATATAATATATAATTATAATATATATATTATATAATATATTATATTATATATTATATATTATATAATATTATAGATTATATAATATATAATATAATATATAATATATATAACATTATAGATTATATATATTATATTATATTATATATAATTATAATATGTTATATATAATAATATATAATAATATAAAATATAATATATATAATAATATATAATTATATATAATATATAATTATATATAATTATATATAATTATATATAATTATATATAATATATAAATATAAATATATATATATCTATATAAATATATATATAAATATATATATTTATATAAAATAAGGGACATTATTTCGTCCATCGATGAAACTCAAGTATGGATGGCAGGTTAAAGTATTATCTCAAAGCAAATTTCATAAATTTGATTACTATTATAGTTATATAAATAAGATAACATTCTTATTCTTAGGAAATACACACTGAAGTATTCAGGGGGAAAGGAGTATAATGTGTACAAATGGCTCAGAAAAAAAGTGGTGTGTGTATTATATACACTTGTATGTATGTGTGGGTGTATTTACTAATAACATACATTATGTATGTATAGAGAGAGACAATGTCAGAGAGAGCACGAATGATAAATGAGGCTAAATATTAATGGCAGGTAAATCTGTTTTTAAAAAACATGTGATCCTTGTTTCTTATATAATAAATGTGATAAGCATGTGATGAGACTGAGCCAACATTAGTGAAATATGGGCTTTAAAATGTTTTCCAGAAGCAGTTATTCTATCCTGTGATGTCCTCTGTGACCAAAAACTAAATGAAGGATGTCTTTGGAAGACTCTAAAGCTAACTGGACAATTTGGAAACTGACCTCTAACTATACTTTGATTAATACCACTGGCGAATCATTCATAGGGTATATACAAATACAAATTTGGCCTCTTGTTTAAAGGGTTTCTGTAGTTCAATCATTATGAACTCCTAACTGATACTTAGTAGAACAGCATATAGGTCCATATTTATAATTCAAATCATTGGCAATTAAAAGCGTTACTATCGGCCGGGCACAGTGGCTCATGCCTGTAATCTCAGCACTTTGAGAGGCCGAGGCGGGCAGATCACCTGAAGTTGGGAGTTCAAGACCAGGCTGACCAACATGGAGAAACCCCGTCTCTACTAAAAATACAAAATTAGTCGGGCATGGTGGCACATGTCTGTAATCCCAGCCACTCGGCAGGCTGAGGCAGGAGAATCACTTGAACCCAGAAGTGGAGGTTGCGGTGAGCCAAGATCACACCATTGCACTCCAGCCTGGGCAACAAGAGCGAAACTCCATCTCAAAAAAAAGAAAAAGGTTACTATCAGTAAATGCTAGCTGAAACTACAGTAACAATTTATAAACAGTAATTCTCTACTAAAATTTACCAAAACATAATTCTTTCTGAGAACATTATTGTCACAAGTTTTATTACATGCTTATATTATAAACCTACCAATAATATATTTATTAATATGATAAATACTAATTTAAATCTGTTCTTAATATGACAAAACTGTGTTATTCTAAAATCCATGAAGATGAGCTATTCCAAATGAGAACTTTTTCTAAATAACTGAAGGGCTAGTAACACTGTATTCCTTCTAAACCACAAAGGTATAGTGTGGTATGCAGAATGATGCTCCCTCCCAAAGATGTCCACATTCTATTCCCTGGAATTCATGAATATGTTATTAATACCATAAAAGGCAAAGAGGAATTACAGTTGCAAATGGAATAAGGTTGCTAATCAGCTAACATTATAACAGAGAGATTAACCTGGATTATCTGGGTGAGTCCAGTGTAATTACAAGAGTACCTTAAAGTACAAGAGGGTGGCAGATTAAGTCAGAGTGATGCAATATAAGCACTCAATCTGTCCTTACTGACTTTGCTGAATTAAGGAAGGAAGCCACAAGCCAAGGACCATGGAAAACATCTAGAAGTTGGAAAAGGTAAGGAAACGAATTCTCCCCTAGACGCTCTAGAAGAGAATGCAGTCCTGCCAACACCTTGATTTTACTTCTGTGAGGCCTGCATAAAGCCATTACTTTTGTGGAAATTTGTTATAGCAGCAACAGAAAATTAATATATATTCTATTTTCTTTTCTCTTACAAAAAGTGTAATAAATATAATTTGATCTTAAAACTTCCTGTAGCAAATCATTGCAGGAATCAATTCCTGTACTAAACAACACCCTACCAATCCCTACCTCCAAGCATATATAGATTCCCACATCTATGCTTTAGAATATAATATAGTTTTCATGTAATCTTTTGATAACAGAGATGTTCTATCTATTATCTATTACTACCCTTCATCTACTGTGAATGGCTGTGCTCTCTCTACCCTCAGCACCACTGACTACCCTAGATGTCCACTATTCTCTTTCCCCCTTAGCCTCTCCTTCAATTATTTTATATTTGCTCACACAGTATCTCCTGAGCTTCTTGGCTCTAGCAGAAGACTGTCCTTAAATACATGAGGCTATTCAATGCCTTTTACCCTTGTCTACAAATCTACCAATCAACATATAATATTCTGTGCACCTCAGCTCTTTCCATTGTTGCTGAGTATTCACCGGTTGCTTTCCAGGGATATTTCTCCCTCTATTTGCAATAAGCATTAAATTTTTCTTTAGAAGGATATACATACATACATATATATTCAGCCTATCTGCAAAATGTAATGGGACAGCAGCAGGAATAATGATAGCGTAGTTACAAGTATACTCTCATTGCTATGGGCAACTATGATAATGGCAATGTAAGTACATATTCATTTTCTCTATACATAGGCATCCTCCCACACCCTGCTATGTATGTATGTTCTCAGTAAATGTTTAGAGGACAGAGGAGAAAGTAAGGTCTTAACCTCCTGGTATGCAAATTATAGGAAGAAGAGAGAACTAAGCAAACAAACTTAAGTTACATAAAGTAACAGAAGAAATAATACATATTTAATCCATAATATATTTTCTAAAAATTTATCTGCATTCAAGACATTAAAGGCCTTCAAATATTTAAATAGTAGAAACATTACACTGAGAGTTATTAGACGACAAAATTATGTCTTACTCATTTTCATTTCTCTCATGCCCACAATTAAGTTTGCTTTGAAATAATTTTTTTTTTAATAGGGGTCTTGCTCTGTTGACCAGGCTGGAATGCAGTGGGATGATCATAGCTCACTGCAGCCTTGAACTCCTGGGCTCCAGCAATCCTCTTATCTCAGCCTCTCAAGTAGCTGGGACTACAGGCACACACTACCACACCCAGCTAATTTTTAAAATATTTTGTAGAAATGGAGTCTTACTGCATTACCCAGACTGGGTTACTCAGGGCTCAAGTGATTATACCAACTCAGCCTCTAAAAGTGCTGGGATTACAGAAATAAGCCACCACACCTGGTTGAAATAATTTTTTTTAACCTTATGACAAATTTGTATATGAGCCTAGGTACACAGACCCTTGCAATCTAACAATAAGACTTACTAGTATTAGCATCACATAATCACAAGGCTGAAATATTATAGTGTTAGACTCTCTTTAAAATCTATGTTTTTACACAAATCAATAAATGTAATCTATCACATAAAAAGAACCAATGACAAAAACTATATGATTATCTCAATAGATGAAGAAAAGGCCTTCGATAAAATTCAAACATCCCTTCATGTTAAAAACTCTCAATAAACTAGGTATTGATGGAACATCTCAAAATAATAAAAGCTATTCATGACAAACCCATAGCCAATATCATACTGAATGGACAAAAGCTGGAAGCATTCCCTTTGAGTGGCCCTCTCTCACCACTTCTATTCGACATAGTATTCAAAGTTCTGGCCAGGGCAATCAGGCAAGAGAAAGAAATAAAGCGTATTCGAATAGGAAGAGAGAAAGTCAAATTGTCTCTGTTTGCAGACGACATGATTGTATATGTAGAAAACCCCATCATATCAGCCCAAAAACTCCTTAAGCTGATAACCAACTTCAGCAAAGTCTCAGGATACGAAATCAATGTGCAAAAATCACAAGAATTCCTATATACCAATAACAGACAAACAGAGAGCCAAATCATGAGAGAACTCCCATTCACAATTGCAACAAAGAGAATAAAATACCTAGGAAGCCAACTCACAAGGGATGTGAAGAACCTCCTCAAGGAGAAGTACAAATCACTGTTCAGTGAAATAAAGGAGGACACAAACAAATGGAAGAACATTCCATGCTCATGGATAGGAAGAATCAATATCGTGAAAATGGTCATACTGCCCAAGGTAGTTTATAGATTCAATGCCATCCCCATCAAGCTACCAATGACTTTCTTCACAGAGTTAGAAAAAAAGTACTTTAAAGTTCATATGGAACCAAAAAAGAGCCCATATAGCCAAGACAATCCTAAGCAAAAAGAACAAAGCTGGAGGCATCATGCTACCTGACTTCAAACTATACTAAAAGGCTACCGTAACCAAAACAGCATGGTACTGGTACCAAAACAGATATATAAGACCAATGGAACAGAACAGAGGCCTCAGAAATAACACCGCACATCTACAACCATCTCATCTTTGACAAACCTGACAAAAACAAGAAATGGGGAAAGGATTCCCTATTTAATAAATGGTGCTGGGAAAACTGGCTAGCCATAAGTAGAAAGCTGAAACTGGATCCCTTCCTTATCCCTCATACAAAAATTAATTCAAGATGGATTAAAGATGTAAATGTTAGACCTAAAACCATAAAAACCCTAGAAGAAAACCTAGGCAATACCATTCAGGACACAGGCATGGGCAAGGACTTCATGACTAAAACACCAAAAGCAATGACAACAAAGCCAAAATAGACAAATGGGATCTAATTAAACTAAAGAGCTTCTGCACAGCAAAAGAAACTACCATCAGAGTGAACAGGCAACCTACAGAATGGGGGAAAATGTTTGCAATCTACCCATCTAACAAAGGGCTAATATCCAGAATCTACAAAGAACTTAAACAAATTTACGAGAAAAAAACAACCCCATCAAAAAGTGGGCAAAGGATATGAACAGACACTTCTCAAAAGAAGATATGTATGTGGCTAACAAACATATGAAAAGAAGTTCATCACTGATCACTAGAGAAATGCAAATCAAAACCACAATGAGATACTATCTCATGCCAGTCAGAATGGCGATCATTAAAAAGTCAGGAAACAACAGATGCTGGCGAAGCTATGGAGAAAAAAAGAATGCTTTTACATCGTTGGTGGGAATGTAAATTAGTTCAACCACTGGGGAAGACAGTGTGGTGATTCCTCAAGGATCTAGAACTAGGAATTTGACCCAGCAATCCCGTTACTGGATAAATCATTCTACTATAAAGACACATGCACATGTATGTTTATTGTAGCTATGTACAATAGCAAAGACATGGAACCAACCCAAATGCCCATCAATGACAGACTAGATGAAGAAATGTGGTACATATACACCATGGAATATTATGCAGCCACAAAAAAGAATGAGTTCATGTCTTTTGCCAGGACATGGATGAAACTGGAAGCCATCATCCTCAGCAAACACAGGAACCAACACCACATGTTCTCACTAATAAGTGGGAATTGAACTATGAGAACACATGGACACAGGGAAGGGAACAACACACACCGGGGCCTGTTGGGCCATGGGGGGAAGGGGAGGAAGAGTATGAGGACAAATACCTAATGCATGTGGGGCTTAAAACCTAGGTGATGGGTTGATGGGTGCTGCAAACCACCATGGCACATGTAAACCCATGTAACAAACCTGCACATTCTGCATATGTATCCTAGAACTAAAAATAAAATAAAAAATGTAAAAAAAATAAAATCTATGTTTTATATTGATCATACACAACATTGTAGAATAGATTTTACATATATAATTAGTATACATTTTAAATATAGAGATTTAACATAACAACTCTCCTGGCAATTTCAGCTGACAATTTCCATGGCAAAGTACAAGCTGCACACAATGGAATCCTGACTTACTTCTTTAACACATAAAACACTTAATAAAATGTGGAAAAGCTATACCACCTAAGAGTTATTCTAAAATATTTTATAGTGTGAAATACATTTATATGTATGTATGTTTAAATTTACTGAATAAAGACACCAATTAAGAAAATTAAACCCCTAAAAGCTAACTACTATTCACATACTTTAATTTAGTTTGCTTATTCATTTCAAGTCTTTCTTCATTAATATAAGTTTAACATATGTAAAATCATAGCATAGAGGCCAAGCCCAGTGGCTCACACCTGTAATCCCAGCATCTGGGGAAGCGAAGATAAGAGGATCACTTAAACCCAGGAGTTCAAGACCAGCCTGGGCAACACGGCAAGATCCTGTCTCTACAAAAAAAAAAAAAATGTAGTCAGGCATGGTGGTACATGCCTGTAGTTCTAGCTACTTGAGAGGCTGAAGCAGAAAGATTGCTTCAACCCTGGAGTTCAAGGTTACTATAGCTTGCTACTGGGCTCCAGCCTGAGAGACAGAGTAAGATCATGTCTCTAAAAAAATAAAAATAAAAGTTTAAAAATCATAGCATGGAAATAACCTTGTGCTTTTATCTTTTGAAATACTTTAAGTATAACTAATTTTATTACTACATAAATCTACCATTTCAATTCTCCTTTAAGAAATCTACAAAGAAAAACTCACATGATACTTTCATGACCTCTGAAGATTAAATTATATCTGGATTGTATCTGAATCAAGGATATAAGATAATTCATGAATGAATAAAATAGGATTTAATAAAGTAAAATATAAAATAAAGACTGATTTCAAAATAACAACTTGTTTTAGGACTGTAGCAGACTTTCTTTTAATTATAGATTTCCAATTAAACTATTTAGGAAAAGCTATACTTTAATTTTAATCTTAAAAGTTAAAAGAAGATCAAGTAACTGATACTAACTTCACATTAAAATGTATTTCACTAATACAAATAGTAATAATGACCATCACAAAAATTTTAGCTAAATATTAATTGACCTTTATCTGTATACTTTGACTGTATTTAGTTATTTAAATACTCACAATCAAAATATACAGATACAACTTTTAAAAATACACAGAAAGTACTTCAGCACTTATGAAATAGAATGCCATCATCTTCCGTATAAAAGCTGAAATCAAATCAGAAATTGAAATTGATGTCAGTTTATTTCTGAGAGCTTAATATATTTGGTAAACTGCTTCCTCTTTGATAACAGTGGTTTCAGTTTTGTATAAAGACTCATTATAAGCCACAATATTTCCTAAGTATAAAATATGCAGCATTTTATTAACTTCATTTCCATCTTTTATGAACAGCATGGATATAACTACCAATCACTTTAAAACAAAATTTAAGTTTCAAGTATTTTTCATGTGATTTGCTACAAATTATTTTGGAAATTTCCTGACTATATAACATTGTTTAGACTGCAATCATTTTATTAAAACTTACCTAAAATGATAATAACAACTGCTACTTGGCCCTCCATGTATTTAAAAAATAAAAAACGTGAGCCAGAGATTTCCAGATCTCTATATATTATCTGATCATGTCGCAACATTTCAGAGTAGGATAACAAGATGCTCTTTTGAAAATTAATGGGAAAAAGGAAAGCTTTGGAGCTTCTTGTGAAAACAAGAAAAAGTGTAAAGAAAAAGGTAGGTGATATAACGGACACTATTTAAGTTGTGGGAAGGCAAAACTTACTTAAGAAACTGTCATGGACAACTGCAGACAGGGCATTAAAAAAAGGACAATGGCACTGATGGGATACCAGTAAAAATCTGATGGCTTTAAAATAAACTGCCAACATCTTCACAAATTATGCTTTACTGCTTCTGAGCTCTAGCAAGGTTTCTATACAGATAGGGATAATAATAGAATATAAGTCATTATAGATTTGTTGAGAGGATTATGACAATTAAAGTGCTTAGCATAGTGGTTGGCACAGAATAAGAGTTCAATAAAGTGGTGTGTTATTCTTATCATCTCATTTCAATTGAGTTTTGCAAGACTTTCACATCTCTAGAAATGTCATACTGTAAATTTGAACTTGCTGATAGAAATCTGTTGGAAAAAGAAGGGTATCAAATTTATCACTCTATAAGGATTTATTTAGCATGTACTATTTACCTAGGCATGTGGTGCTACCAAGTAAATAACTTGATATCTGCCTTCCAATAACTTTTCACATTGGTAGGTTAACAAAGGGAGAGGAATACATGGATAATAAGAGGAAAGAACAAAAACAACGATATATTAGAGTGTTTAAGATCAACGGTAACTGAAGCATCAGTTCAAAGAGAGCACTTGCCCGGGCACTGTGGCTCACGCCTGTAATCCCAGACCTTTGGAAGGCTGAGGCAGGAGGACTGCTTGAGTCCAGGATTTCAAGACCAGTCTAGTCAACATAGTGAGACCCCGTCTCTACAATAAATAAATAAACAATAATATTAAATTTAAAAAACAAACAAAAAAAATAAATCAGAGAGAGCTCTCTGTGTGGCATCCAATGATAGATGTAAGAAAGCTAGCCTGGAAAGACAAAGACTTCAGATTGGGGGCCAATGTGAAACAAAGTTGAATAGGTAGGACTTTAAGGATTTTAAAGCACTATGGCATGATGACAGTGTTTTATTCTATTCCTCTAAGTAAAAACCTGCCAAGGGAACTAGAATAAAGCATGTATTTAATGAAATCATTTAATTATTAAACCACTGACAATTTTCCCTTCTTTTATTCCCTCCTTCTTTCTATAAATATTTATTGAATCTCCACTGTCTAGCAGGCAGCACGTAAGTGGTGGTAATAAGGAAACATTAAGATGAGGACTATACCTGGTTTGAAGAGAAAAACTTTAGTGTAAATAATCCCAAAGAAAACTAACCAAGATTATTTTATCAGCACTGCACCTGCACTTCATTTTCTTTTAAGTAGGTAGACTGTTTTCTTATTACAACTTAAAGATTTTAGAGTTTCAAGATTATATCAAATTAACACATTTATTACATTTTAGATATATATTCATATCAAAAGCATTCTAAAACTCCATCCTCAAAGCTCTACTCACTTAAACTAGTATTCTGGAACTGCACATGAGCATTCGGTTTTAAAATGCCTTACAATTTTGTCAGATGCCAGAAAACAACAATGAAAAATTAACCCTGGTTGAAAAAAGGGATAACTTATAAGTAGATTTGGTTCAGAAGACTATAAAACTATAACTAACTTTTACCAGGCAATCCAAGATTTATAAAAGCATGTAACCTTGAGCAAGAGACCCAACCTTCCCATGCCTCAGTTTCTTCATCAGCAAAATGGTGACAATACCTACCTCAAGGGCTTGCTGTAAAAATGTAAGAGTTAATACAGGTAAAACACTTAAAACATTGTTTGCCACACAGTAAATGTTTCATATGTGCTATTATCATTGTAGATGCATCTTTCCAACATCTGCTTGGAGAAAAAAATACCGTGACAAAAGAAAATGGCTCTAAAGAGCCTTCAGATGTAACACAATAGAAGGACAAACAGGTAGTCGCAGAATTGTGTTAGATTAGTGACCTAAGTGTGTTTAAGGAACAAGAGGTAAAGCAGAGGTCACAATGTGTGTTTAACTTTAAATAAATATATGAAACAAGGAAAATTATATTCTAGATTTTAAAAATGTAAATAACTTTCTATTGCTTTACATTGTCCAAACAAAAGCTGTGTTAATAATAAAGAGTATACTTCTGAATCTGGAGTCCCATCAATGATTTGTTCAGCTTGCGTAAGTCACAACTGATTGGACACAGTCCCTGTGGGCTTGCCATTTCATCCAGACTGGACGGTTCATTAGTCATAACTACTATAACTGTACAGCAGAGACTGCAGTTTTATCTCATCGTACATCTTTGATCAAGCTGCCTCAATTCTGCTTCATCAGCATATGAAGTTACATTATTGGAGCTTTTTATTTTCCAGTCGGTAATTAACAGAGATTATGCTTTTTATCAAAACATGTATTTGGTCTTCACATTTAATAGTGAGGGCCCAGATCTGACCACCATTTGACCTCTGAAATTTCTACCACCTAAATACCATGAATCATAAACTGAAATCCAGAATACCACAGAGAAAATTAAACAAAGAAAAGAACTGACCTGTGTTAAAAAGCATAAGATGATTGCACTTATCTAAATTGAGACTAACCATATTTGCTGCAGCTTCTCATTAAACATTAAATCGCACACCAGAAGAAAACATCATACATATTTATTGTTTTGCACTGTCACTTTCAAAAGACTCATACCACAATTAGTGTTTCTCTCAAACTATAAGCTACATAAAGAAATTTCCCATGAAGCCTGAAGACAAAGTAATGTAAAAGATGGTTCAAGAAGGTTAAAGAACAGATGGATAATAGATTTCACTGAACACTAAAGCATAATACACTTACTTCAGAAAAGAAAATGTTGCCAAAACTTAGTTCAAATATAAAATACTGAATGAAATTGATGTGTCGGGAATTTTTTTTTCCTTCCAAGTTCTTTTGGAGAACAATAGGGGGCTAAAAGGCCTGTCTCACTATTTTTGCATCTCACTATTTTCGTGTGTAAAGTGTCCCCACTGTAGGCTGCATGAACAATCATAATCGACAGTTACATGCAGGCACTGAGGCTGCAAAAATCCCAGAGTAATTAGTGTTGTCTGAATGCAATGACATCTGTGTTCTCATGGTTCTCGAGACATGTCAGGCCAATAAGATGTATATGAAAAAATATGACAAGCATTGCAAATGCCCTTCTGAAAGGTCTTACACTTTAGGGGAAAGCTGAAGAAATAACACATGTCATCTTCTCTTTGTAAGCAATATATTTAAGATTACAAGATCTAGAAAGATCTTTTGAGTCATTCATTCTCTTTTTGTAACTATAAAGCATTTGTTCAGAATACATCACTAGGGTATGAAAAAAATCTGTTGTAAGTTGGCTTCTTTTTAAAACTTTCTCAGCACATGTGATTCTGTGCAGTGCAATGTAGGTGCCCATTCCTGTAAGTGACAAAACAGAGAGCATATCTTATTAACATTCCTTGGTTTCGTTACCTTTTAATTAAAAAATATTACCTCTTAGTACTGAACATAAAATAGTTCAAAATTTGTGGTTAAATGCCTTAGAATTATGTTTGTATTTTTCTAATAATACAGAGTGTCAAATTGACTGTATTAAAAAGTCTTTGTTTTAAGACAACTAATGCTTTTGCTTACTGATGCCTATTACTGAGGCCTCTCCCTCTATATGCTGTAGCAGTATGTTTGAGCATGCACTTGCTCCAAGAAAGACATTAGTCATCATTAACAGAAGCACTGACACCAAATCTAAGTGCCTCTCCACAATGACCAAGTGGCAATCATCTTTCTCTTACACTGTCACTGCTGATTAGGATTTTCTTTCATGAAAATTTAATTTGTACCCCTTTCTGCAGCTTCTTTTTTTTTTCATTCCTGAAAAAGCAACGTGTTCAGGAGAGATTACAGATAAAGCAAAGAAGCTCTACCTATAATATAGCTAATGATATAGAGATTGCAAGATTCTCAGGTAAATCTTTTCTCTAATCCAACAGAAAAACACAGATTAAATCAATGATTAATAAACAGAAGAAAAACAATGATTTTAAAAGGAATATTGCTTTATTGCTTTAAGAATCCATAAGCCTCAAAAGGTAACTAATTCAAGGAATCCAAATAAAACTTCCCTAAATATTAACATAATCCCAAGCTTCTTTAAAACTAAGATAACACTTTGATAGTTGCCATCTTTCACTAGGTTTCAAATTTGTATTCTCCATTTTGTAAACAAAAAGACAGGGGCATTCACACAGAAATATCACTATAAACTGAAGAAAATACTTAAGCATTCATACCTTTAGTATGCATTAACCTACTGGTTAGTTGTTTTTTTTTTTTTTTTTTTTTTTTTGAGAAATTTTCAGTTGCACTGGACAAATGAAAGTGATTCATTTGGCCAAGCAGGGTACTCTACAGCTAGATGATACTACAGACAAACTCTGGTTCTGTACAATATCACAATGTTAAACAAGATATCATAGCAATAAGTTATTTAAGGAAGTTTTTAAAAACATTTACTTTTCTGTTTTATTTCAATCTGTTTAAAGTTTTTTTTTTTAATGTAAGCATGTGATAGTTTGCAAGGGTCCTGGTACGACCCAAACTCCCACTTCTAGTTATAAATATTATCATCTCTTCGTATTACTTAGGTATTATAACAAAATAGAGATTGGTTTAAATTTAAATTATCTTGAAATTATTTTATATCCCTTTTAGAACATATGTACTTTTAGTCAAAACATGTAACACTTTTGTGTTTACATGAGCATAAATTGTATCTTTTTAAAATGTAAATAACCACATGAAATGCTCTGAAAGCAAAAATCAACATTATTTCTTTGTAAATCAGAAGCAAGTACAATTCATCAAACTTTAGTCATTAAACGATCCTTCTACTCCTATTTTATTCTGAAAAATAATACAGAAAGTCAAACAGCAACTGCTTAGTGCCATTTACAAATGGTTTGTTTTTTCTTTTTTTCTATTTAAAATTGGTCTGCAATTAGAACATGTAAGAGGAGATTAGGAATTAAAATGGATTCTGAGAGGCAATTTCTAACTACTGAACTTTTATAACAGGAGTATCTTTGATTAAATAAGGAGCTAGTCTAAACTAAAAGCAAAACTGTACCATAATAACCCAACTTAATTATCTTTGCAGAATACATTTATAAATGATTGGCTCATTTCTACCTTTACTTGACTAAGTAAATATGCCTCTTAAATTCTCAAACATTGAAAATTCTGATTCTCACAGTTGCACAGACTTATCTAAATCAAAACTTCAAAAAGTTACAATATAATTACTGACTCCATTGCTAGATCCAGTACAAGTTCAAGTAAGGAAGTTTAGCTCTGTAACTTCCACTCCTCAACCTAAACCTCCAAGTCACTTGTCAGTTAAAGGTTGGGCGATTTATTGACCGCCTCTGGATGCATACTGTCAGTGCTGAAGGAAATATGAGGGAGGGTTGTTGCTACTGTTCTGGAGCTCATTGATAATGACATACCTGCCTCTGTCACCCATTACCCATACTACAAACTACTTAGACCTAACTGAAAAATCAATAGCCTACTTGCACTGGTTCCTGTGGCTGCCTCCTTTGATTGTCAGCTCCTGTCTAGGGTCAGCACTTACATGAAAGGGGCTGTGACTGCCTGATGCTTTCAGGACAACCTAACGATATGAAACTAGCCAACAGAACAGTAAATTCTGCCTCCCTGCCCTCCTCATCAATTAGGCTTTGACTAGGCTTGCCTGTAGAAACCTGACCTTTTAAGTTTAGGTGAATATGGACTAGCTGAACACACCATTGCCCTCAGCACTGAGCCAGGAAATCTACTGACAGGTTAAACAAAACAGAAGGTTGTAACTGTCATAATTTGCATTGCACTTTCACGCCAACAAGGGTGTTATCAGTAGGGGCAAGCCCTGGAACACACAACTCCAGCACCCTTAAGCCACGCTACTCATAAATTTTCAAGTGAAGTGAGATAAAACATAAATTCACAAATAGCAATGCATTTCTCATCTCTCAGTCTTTTAGGTTTGCACTTTGCAAACCCACAGAGTGCCCATCAACAACTCCTTTTGGTCACCTGGCACTCCCATTGCACTAATTAGGGACTTTCAATGACCATAACACAGAAGTAAAAATAACAATGCCCATTTAAGACCTATTTTAGAGAGACTATATAATATAGCAGATAGACTGACTGGTATATATGTCAAAATGAGAACAATTAGATCTCAATATGCTATCTTTTCTTGCCTCAATTCACTCTCTCCAAAAGTATCCACAAGCTTAGACAAACAATAAGTTATCACGTAAGTGAAAGGAGGTGTTGAAATTATTTCCTACCAAGCTACTCTGATATAGCATCTTTTACAGTTTGAGGGAAAACTAAGAACATCTGTAAAATAAAAGATGTTAACACTTTTATGCTTGTCAGATCTTCTGATGAAAACAAGTGAAAAGCATGAGAAAGCAGTATAAAACTTTCCTTTGTTTAGTGACTCATGTTTTGAAAACCACTTCCCTGCTTAGATCTATCTTTTAACACAGTAGGAACTTGGTAATATCATAGTTGCTTAGCACAATGTCATTTCTCTAAGGAGAAGACCAATAATTTATTTTTTTAAGTTAATTGTGAATGGGAACTTACTTTGGCTTCAAGAACTAATATTTACACAATACCCAATGTTCATTAAAATGTCCAAAACATTGACAGTCCATTAAATATTTAAGGGAAAAAAACATATTGTTTATATAAACATATATTATTTTTCTATATACAGGAACACATACTGCATTTTGTTTTATAATTTTATGATTCAACCCCTATCAAGCAATAATTAGTATACTCAGGATTTTTCCCAAGTTGCTACTTCATTGTCCCTCACAGTTGTCTCCAAACTATATTTTGTAAATTTTTTCCATAAATCTAAAATATCTATAAGCTTATTCTTGTCTGAGTTTAAAAACTTTCATATACCTACGTTAGAGCAGCACTGAAAGCCTAAACATCTGCAGAAAGATTTCTGATAGAAATAAACAAAGATGTCAACAAATTTAGTCATGTAATGGTGGAAAATTTTAGACTTTTTTAACTAGAAGAGATAGAAAAGATTACCTAGTCCAACCCACTCATTTAGCAATTGAGAAAATAATGGATAAAGATAGTGACTTGATCAAAGTCACCCAGGTAACCAAGCCAGGACAAAAATTTGGGACTTTTTGTTTCCTAGATTGATGCTTTGCTGATACGTTCACACTGTCTCCTTTTATCTATCCAGGTATTCTGGATAGCAACCACCTTACATTTAAAATACATATCTATAGATTTGTATCATTCATTTTTAATTTATAAAGTTTATAGAAAGCTTTGATTAGCAGAAAAGATTAGATTATTCGTAGAGCATTTAACCAAAAAGTTACCCAACAAATATTAGAAATAGAAGGCCCAATTAAGTATGGTTGGAATCCTTTACTGACCAAATATGATGATTAACTAAGCATCTGGTCATCTTTCTGCTCCTTTGTGTGTACATAGCTGATAGCAAAGTGAAAGGGTATGGATAGTGTCTGATCCCAGCAAGCAAATCATTTGAAAACAGTCATAGCTACAGGTCAAAGATTTTCTACTCAGTCTAGATGGATCTAAACGTACTAACCTCGATTTTAAACCTAATTACCTATATACCAAATCAGTCAGAAAATAAGAGAATGACTCTTTATGATCCAAAGATAATAAGGGAAGATAGGAAGGAAAAATTCAGGAAAGAGACTGGCAGAACCTTGATATCCATAGGCCAAGACAGCTGTTTTATATCCTAGCTTTATATCAGATGGTTAAAGGAAAAGTTTCCATTCCTTAGATCATTAAATATTATTTCATTTATATTACACAGATGTCTTCCATACATAGATTACAACCAATGAAGCATTTTGTTGTTGTTGTTTAACCACTACAAGCAATCAGAGAAACCTCTCTGCACATCACTTTTACTCTAATTCATAACATTTAAAGGATGAGGCAGGCTAGATTTTTAACATTTCCATTAAAAATAACACAAAGTCCATTAAGTATTTCTTGTAATCTTAGCAGATGATCAATGCCAAATTACTACTATTCATAATAATATAGAGTGCTACAGAACCAATACATTTTTAAATAAAATGTTTAAAATGGCTAGTGCTCCTAAAGTATAACAAAAACCTACCCATACGATATGCTTAACTAATAATTTTAAACATAGACCCACAAAATGTCTCATATGACCTGAAAGAAATAGCACATAATGCCAAATATTATATTTTGAACCAAGTACAGCTCAACACTAGCATAATCTACGTCTCTAATTTCACTCATCTGTTTTGTTAATGTCTGGCACTGATCACAAGAGAAAGTAGAAAGGGAGTGGGGATGGATTTAATATCCTAAGAAACATATTCTACACAATTTTTGTTTCACACACATTGTTTTGGCTCACAATGTGAGTCAATAATATTATCTTCATAAACAAAAGATATCACACCTTGAAACCATAAGGTCAGCTTTCAATTTTCTTTAACACTTAAATTCATTATTATCTGATCCTGGTTTTTCTGTCTACCTTCTGGAAGTGATGTTAAAGGCCAGCAAAATTTGGTTCTCCAGGTAGAAAAGTCACAAAGAATAATCCACAAATTATACAATCATTTCTTAAAGTTAACAGTTGGCTCTACCAAATATACCCTTTCATGTGAAGATAATAGTGACTTATGAAAGTCAAAGTTATTTGGCAGGTAAAATTTAATATTTATCTAATAGTACATTAATAAGTTCAAACTGGTTTTTAAAAAAAAAAAAAGGAGGAGGGGAGAGGAAAAGAAGGAAGGAACAAGGAAGAATAGGAAAAGAAAATTTTTAAAAATTTTGCTTCAACTTTTCAGAACTGCTTAACTATGTATGTAAATAAAAGAATGTAGTGTTACAACTCAAAAATGTATACATTTAAAATGAGAAAAAGATACACGATTTCTTGGTAAGGTCAAAAGACATATGCCAATATAAGTGTGAATATAGCAAGTTCAAAGAAACTTTCTAAAAAATACTTGCTGAATTAACTTGGATGTTAACATTGCACATTCTAGCGCAATAATATAATGGCATTTACTTCTTAGTCAGGCTAAAAGCTGCTTACTTTAATTTTCCTGAGCACAAGTCCCTTACTCTATCATTGTATATTTTTGGTGACATCAAATTATGTATAGTTTAATAAAGTACTCATTTATGCAGTTGCTATTCAACTTGGGGGAAAACCCTGATATACAGCATACTCTCAATTTTCTCATTCCACTATATAATACAAGAATTATATTTGTAAAGTCTAATAGGTAACAAACATCTCTAATCATATATATTATCTAAGGCAATCCAAACAAATTTAAAAGGCCCACAAACAATACTCATCAAAAGTACATAAAAGCATTTTATTTTTCAGTACAGTTTGATAGGCTTACTGTACAAAATTAAAGCTACTGCTTTTACCTGACATAAAATTATCTGAAGTTCAACCTGTTCAAATGAGAACAATACCCTTGGGTTACTAATCAAAGAGAGTAAAAAAAAATTTTTTTTATTAAGGCTATTTTGTGAGGGGGGAAGAATAACTTGTTTCAACAGCATGCTTGACCATATAAAATTATTAACAGGCACTATGGTGAACTGTTCAAGGCAAACATTCAATTACTGGTTATTTTAGATTGATTCCAGAATAATAATTACAAGTAGCTTAGAAACAATCTCCTTAACACTTTGGAATTTTAGAAAATTAAATCCTTTGACAGAGAATAAAAGAGAATGTAGTTTTACTGTGACTTATAATGTGGACAGTATAATCTTGATGACTGTCATTAACACATCTTACATATATTTAAATATAATTACTTCAATAAAATTTCATCAACTAGAATACACTAACAAATCATATCTGGGTTATTTACTTTTCTTTCTGTTTTTAGTGAAATAATTTTTAAATTCAGAGAACTTAATAGTGTTTTATTTCCTCATTTACAATTTGACCAAAAATAAAAATCAATGTTCATTTTTTTAAAAAAAAAAAGCATTTTCATAAGTATGTAGAATGATTAAGTATATAAGAACTAAAAATGTAGCACCCACATAGATGTTTCAAAGTTAGAATTTAGAGGATAAGACTATATACCAGTAAACACGTGGTCCTTTGTTTTCCAAAAAGTATAAATCCTCCAGAAATGCTTTCTTTTCTTAAGTCAATAATCTGATTATTTTTTGAAAGCTTCTAAAATATTTCCTGGAAAATAAGATCATGTATTCTAAAATTTGTTTACTCTTTAGTAAAGATTATTGAGATACAATATATTATTTTTACAGATAATAAAATAATAGATACCTTTTAAGTCTCGTTAACATGATAAAGTAACAAATGCACTGACGTTAACTCAGTAAATACATTTTTAAGTAAAGATCAGCAAAAAATAAAACAGTTTAAGAATTTTGTATTCTCTGGAAACATAAACAGGATTATAACTGTCAGATTACAGAAGCACTGACTTCAGCCATTAGTTTGGTTTGGCTCCTGAGAAACACAACATGAACTACTGCATCATTTCTTTTCAAATCCATACATTCCCTGCAGCCGTTCAAGCTTCATCAGCAGTGCAGGAATGTATAAAAATGACAGGCAAAGGGCATTAGGTTTTTTTACTTCCATACTGTTTTCCTATAAATGGAAGACAGGATTCTTTCTCAAAGCACTTAAGCTCAAGCTCAGTCAATGCTGAAGGAAAAATACAACTGAATTCTCTATGCAAGAAAGTATCACAATTGGATTATTTACTACTTTTCAAGGACATGTTGATAAATCTAATACTGTATTATTATCTTAGAATAAAACATTGTAAGGTTAGCATTCTAGCTTAATTACCCATTATTCTTCAATTAGAAATATTTTCACTTTTTAAAGTACTCTGTCAACTCATCACCTTATTTTAACACCAAGTATTCAGTTTTGCTTCTAATTTTAATTATAAAAATTTCCTTAAAATATGCCAATTTTTTTTGAAAATATATTTGTATAAATAGTTAATTTTTTATTTCCAAGTTTCTGTACTCATAAAGGTTTCGGTGAAATAGGAAATTCCATTAATAATTAAAAGTTTATTTAACCATGATAAGTAAAAATAGGATGTAATGAGTAATCTGGTTATTTGACTGGACCTTAAACATTCACATTGCTATAAAACTAGTACCGTAATTACTACAACCTGACTCAATTTTTTGAAGAAACTGGGAAATTTTCAGACTAAAGTTTTAAACATCCTCATATTTTAGTTTATAGTAACTAAAAACATGCCCACTTCAGTACTATCACCTACATTCTTTATGTTCCTAATGTAATGATGCAAGAGGTAAAGCCTAGAGAAGTCTGAAGGTTACGGACTACCTGATATCCAAAACAAAAAATTCAGATCACACCCTGAATGTCCTCCTTCCCTTTTTAGGAATGTCCTGCAGCTAGCCCAGCACCACAGCTCTGGGCTGAAGCATGCCAATGTTGGCACTGCCTAAGCCAAACAAACAAGATGTTTAACAGTCAAATAAAATGTCCTGCAGCCTCCCTAATGAATTTGTCAAGGACCATCAGATTTCGCACCCCCTCCTTTGCCTCATTAACTCAAGTATGATGAGACGGATTATAACAAGAGAATACAGATGAATCGGTCTGAAGACTTGAAGTGGCTTTTAGCCTCTAGAGTTTCTTTCTCTCACTTGGTCTCCTTTAATAGAATATAGTATCTCCTGCAGAAGGAGCTGCCAGTTCGTTTTAATACACCATCAAGGAGCTGCTGATGGACTTCTATACTAACATACATAAAAGCAGAGGTGACAGGGGCTCTTCAATTACAGCCTCCTCGGATACCGTTTCCCCCTTCAATTATTCAACCAGAGGAAGAGAGGACCGCAAAGGCGCAGCTGAAGCTGCTCTTAGAGCAGAGGCAGCCAGAGTGAGTTGGGGTGGGGGAGGGGGGAGAAAGAGAACCAGCAAGAGGGAGCATTATTTGCTGGAAGTGTTTAAGTTTATTGCTCGAATGATGTTTCTAATTAGTACCACGGCCATAAATTAAAGTCGCCTTTGTTTAACTGATTTATTATTTACTAGAGCATCTACCTAAGACAGGGTAAATTGGTAATGAATTGTTTTTAAATCAAAACATTTGTAACGTTTTATCATCCTTCCCTCTGTATGTAAAAGTGGAGAAGCGTAGGGGCAAGGATGCGAGAAAACTTAGCCGAGCTTGACAGAGCCGCCAGTGGAGGTGCAGCGGAGTGTCCGGCGAGTGGTGGCGCGAAGGTCCGCTCGGCCTGGGACGCCCCACCCGAGAGAAGAGGAGAAGGCGCAGGACTTGCGGCGCGGCGGCGGAGCCATGCGAACCAACTCCGCCACCCCTGAGGCTGTTTGCAAACACTCACTCTCGGGAGCGTCGCGGGCCGGGCCATTCGCGAACCAGACGCAACGACGAAGCGACCACCTCGAGAGTGGGGCGGGAAAGCTCCGCACCCTCTATCCCCGCCACCAGTCTCCGCCCAGTAACTGCCCCCGGAGAAGCAACCACGGAGCCCCTCCCGGCCAGTCGCGCTCTCCCGGCAGCGCAGTGCCCTCCGGCCCAGGCAGTTCCCAGAGCGCCGGCAAGGCCTCCCGGGTTAGAGCCGGGCTCCCACAGGCGCGAACTCCGAGGGCGCGAGGTCCCCTAGATCCTTAGGCGGCGAGGCGTTCCGGGACGCACGCGGCCTCCCCGGAGAAGGCTGGAGGTCAAGCAGCCCAAGTCTCTGCCACTCCAGAGAAGTTAACTAAAGCTCTGGAGTCCAAGAGTCGCGCGGACACTTAATTCTGACTCTTCTTCCTAATCGCGGGAAGACAAACCCTAAGCAACAAATCCGAGATAGTTTTTTTTTAAGCAAATATTCCTTAGAAAGGGACTTATGGCAACGAGAGAGGAAGGGTGACAAACTGCCTGTGGTCCGCACCAGGTATGTAAGAAAGAACCAAGAGGCCCAATTGTCTGATACCAAGTAGATAGAAAGAAATTAACTTCCCTATGCAATTCAATTCAGGTTCACCCGGCCGGACTTTAAGAGGGTAAGTCAAGCCCTCCCAAGGGGTTTTGAAAAAGCCGAACTACCAGGTTTCTAAAACGAAGTCTTCACCCAAATGGACGCATAGATTTTTATTTTTATCGCATAACCCAGGGCTGGAATATAACCTCCCAAATCAAACTAAAAATAATCACATCTACCTGAAATACGTTAAAAAGATTCAGAATCCAGACATCTTAGGTTCATACATAAACCCTCAGTATCAAGCAAATCAGAAACAATGTTCTAGCTTTTTTTTTCACCCAAAAGTATGGAAAGGCTACAGTGGGTACAACTCGTTTAGGATAATACATATACTAAAAGCACATGCATGCCTTTCATTGAAATGCCTAGGGAGGAGTGAAGCCATCTGTGTAATCAATAACAGGATAGTTATAGATTTTTGTGGCAGTGAAGTCTTTTAAAAGCAAGAGTCAATTATGAAAATAAAATCATTTTACAAATGAAACTCTGTACCTGTACCCCCTAAGAATACATTCACAATTAGATTTACAACAGTAAGATTTTAAGAAAACTTTAGGTTTACATTTACTTGCCTTGTTTTTCATTAAGTTTGAAGCAATTTTAGTAGCTTATTTTAAAAGTATATCCTACTAAGTTCTACGACATGTAAGTTTGCACCATTTCTCACAACTTAGATATTTTCTCTCTCGTAACTAGTTAATTCTTGTAACGATAAAATAATGGTATTAAATACATGTGAATCTTAATTATGAAATAATTATCAAACAAGGTGCTTGGACTAGTTTTTGCCCTGCCCTGTTTTTAAACAGCATATCGAAATTACTAAAAAGAGATTTATAAACCCTCACCTTATATCCACTCCAACCCTCACTGGTGCACATATACAGCAACTGCTCTGATTCTTGGCAACAATGGGAGGGGAGGGGAAGAGAAAGGAGGATGACTTTAAAGGAGGAAAAAACCTGGAAAAATTAGGTCCTTTCCCAGATTCCCCTTTCGCTTCCCATTTGCCTTCAAGCCAAAGTAATTTTGTTACAGTTTGCACCTTCTACTACACAATGTTGATAGAATCATTTAAAAAAAAAAAAAGTGAACCTTTCTGAACCATTGCTACTCTCCCTCGCGTTATTCCAGCCATCTCCAGGAGAGTCCCTTCTATATAAACTCTTTTTCTTCTTTGCTACTGATAAGAGAGGAGGATAAAGAGGAACGGCTGTAAAATGTGTGCAAGCATTTGACTCCCATTATCTCCTCCTATTTTCTTACTTCTCTCTTTACCCTGTTTCTTTATCAAGTGCAGTGGTGGCTGCTACCGTTCGCCAAGCGTGCCTGTCTTCTCTCTCGGATTGGCTAAAGCACTGACAGCTCGGATAGCGATTGTAGGAACTGAAGCTCCACCCCCTCATGATGGCCCTGGGACCATTCATAAACTAAATAACTCCAGGAAACAGCGAGGGAGAGAGAGAAAGAAAGAGAGAGGGAGAGAGAGAGACAGAGAGAGTTAGAGGAAAGAAGAGAGAGCGAGCACGAGGAAGGGGGGCGGGGGAGAGAAGCAGGGGGAGAGCGGGGCGAGAAAGAGGTCGGAGGGGAGAGGAGGGGGAGAGACGACTCAGAAAGTGGAATCTGTAAAAGCAAGCTAGAGGAGAAGAAGGAAAACCCTGAATCGTTATAACTACACCCCAGATGCAACGCAAGCAACGACTTCGTCACACTAAAACGGATTTTGTGAGGGCCAAAAGTATAAATTACGAAGCAGAAATGATTATCAAACAACTTCCAGCGGTTTGCACCTAAAGAAACACAAGGAGAACCCACTACAAACAAACAAACCCAGTCCAAACAACGCCTCCAGTAGGAAAAGAGGAAAACTGCGATAACACGACCCCCCGAGAAGAGACGAGACCAACACGCTGAGACTGTGGGGCGTCAGCAAACCTCCAAGTGCACGGCGGACTGAGTTGTACTTCGCAGCTCTCTGGACATTAATTACCTCCTGCACCTTCCATTTGGGGGAGGGTGAGGAAGAAGGCACTCACCTACACTGAGCGAAGAAGTCCTATCAGCGTGGAAGAGAAGTTTAAGAATGAACCACTGAATGTTTCGCTTTTATTTTTAAATTTACTTTGGCACTTAAAAAACCTCATTTCCAGATTTCTGGACAATCTCGGCTGCAGACATCTAAGCCTAACCTTTTGGTATCCTGAGTTTTTTCCCTCTCCTTCTCCTTCCTCACGCCCACCCCGCTTCTCTCGCACACGGTCATCTTTACATATCAAGAGAAAGCAAAAAGGTTCCAAGAGGTACTTTTCTTTTTAGAAAATCACCTTTTCTCCCCTAATTCTTCTGCAGAAGAAAAGAGGTTTCGAAAGAGGGAAAAGGAAAAAACAAGCCGGCTACGGTATCAGCCGGTCAGCCCAGGTGGAAAACGAGAGTGAAAGTAGGGCTTAACGGGGAGCGCACCGCCTCTTTCGAAAGCCGCTGGGCCACCACCAGTGCGTGAGCCTTGGATCCCTCAACGTATTGCGAGACGCCGGTGTATAGCCCGGACCTGTGCCCCAACATGATCGCCGCTCAGGCCAAGCTGGTTTACCAGCTCAATAAGTACTACACTGAGCGCTGTCAGGCGCGCAAGGCGGCCATCGCCAAAACCATCCGAGAGGTCTGTAAGGTGGTCTCGGACGTGCTCAAGGAAGTGGAGGTGCAGGAGCCTCGCTTCATCAGCTCCTTGAGCGAGATCGATGCCCGCTACGAGGGGCTCGAGGTCATTTCGCCCACCGAATTTGAGGTGGTGCTCTACCTAAACCAGATGGGCGTCTTCAACTTCGTGGACGACGGCTCGCTGCCCGGCTGCGCAGTGCTCAAACTGAGCGATGGGCGGAAGCGGAGCATGTCTCTCTGGGTCGAGTTCATCACGGCGTCGGGCTATCTCTCAGCGCGTAAGATCCGCTCGCGTTTCCAGACGCTGGTGGCCCAGGCGGTGGACAAGTGCAGCTATCGGGATGTGGTCAAGATGATCGCGGACACCAGCGAGGTCAAGTTGCGCATCAGGGAGCGCTATGTGGTGCAAATCACTCCGGCGTTCAAGTGCACCGGGATCTGGCCTCGCAGCGCGGCACAGTGGCCTATGCCCCACATCCCTTGGCCCGGCCCCAATCGGGTGGCCGAGGTCAAGGCCGAAGGGTTCAACTTGCTCTCGAAGGAGTGCTACTCGCTGACCGGCAAGCAGAGCTCGGCAGAGAGCGACGCCTGGGTGCTACAGTTCGGGGAGGCGGAGAACCGCCTGCTGATGGGCGGCTGCCGAAACAAGTGCCTCTCAGTGCTGAAGACTCTGCGGGACCGCCACCTGGAGCTACCCGGCCAGCCGCTCAACAACTACCACATGAAGACGCTGCTGCTGTACGAGTGCGAGAAACACCCACGAGAAACGGACTGGGACGAGTCGTGCCTGGGCGACCGGCTCAACGGCATCCTGCTGCAGCTCATCTCCTGCCTGCAGTGCCGCCGCTGCCCTCACTACTTTCTGCCCAACCTCGACCTCTTTCAGGGCAAGCCCCATTCGGCCCTGGAGAGCGCTGCCAAGCAGACCTGGAGGTTGGCCAGGGAAATTCTCACCAATCCCAAAAGCCTGGACAAACTATAGGGTGCTGGGGACTGCTTGAAAAGCGACACAAACGGGCGTGCTCTCTCAGACACACAACTCTGCTATAAACAGCAGAAACTCTGGACACAAACTTTTATGTAAGTCACCTGAAATAGGAATCCGGCAGAAGACCTTCATTAATTAAGAAGCAAACAAAAAGAGAGCAACCCAACCAAAACAAATCACATTCTTGCACAAAAGTGATCGTTTTCTTCCAAACAATGTGAATTTAAAAGGTCACACAAAAGAAGCAATCGGGCTCCGCCACCACAAAATGAAACCCAAGGTACATTTTCAAATCAATGTATAGTAGTTCCCCCCCCTTTTCCTTCTTTCCCCCTATCCTTTTTCTCTCCACCCCATCCCCCCCCCCATTTCGTTTTGCTTTTGGTTGCCTGAATGTTGTCACCAAGTGAAAAAATTATTTAACTATATGTAAAATTTCTCTTTTAAAAAAAAGTTTTACTGATGTTAAACGTTCTCAGTGCCAATGTCAGACTGTGCTCCTCCCTCTCCTGAACCTCTACCCTCACCCTGAGCTGTCTTGTTGAAAACAGTAATAAAAACATTACTTTACATTGTAATTGACTGTTTGTGGATTGTTCTTAAGTGAAGGCAGGTGAGATCACAGTTTATAATTTCCAATGTAAAGATGTGACGAGGAATCAAATGCAAGAAGCTTCCACTTGAACTGATTTGCAAAATTTTAAATACAGTACATTTTGTAGAATTGACTGTATAAGTTCCGACCCAAATCCTTAGAAAATAGAAAACACTAATTTTACTCAACTATAATATATATTTGTTCTGTAGATGTTAAGATTAAAAGTAACATCTACTTCACGCTTGGGAAAAAAGTATGAAAGAAAATATTTTGATCCTAATTTTTAAAATAGAAAAAACTTTTTCACATTAAAAATTAAGAGATGTGCTTTCTTATGCCATAATTTCAAAAAATCCAATCTGAATCCGATATACAAAGGAAATATTTATGGATTTTTCTGAATAGTTAACAAAGTCAGTTGATACTTTTCCTTCAACCGTTTGTCCTCTTCAAGCTTTGAGTGATAAAAATTTAACAATTAAATAAACCACAACAAAAAATACAATGGTTATAGCAATAATCCTCTCCCCAAGCATATGGTGATATGAACCATTCAGATTTATAAATTACTTCCATTTTAAAATGGCTTAGTTGTAAATTCCATAAGTATGATTATTTTAATCAAATTTCAAGAATTATTCTGAAACTGCTTATATGCAATTCAAACAAAAAAGGTTTTCATACCATTTTTATAACCAAAGAAAAATTATTATTCCAGGATTTAGAAATAGGAAAAGTACCTTCCTCCTCTTTCTGTTTTTCTAAGGTAACAAACCAATATACTCATTTCAATGTTTCAGCTTTAACAAAGGTTTCTTTTTAATGCAAGGGAATAACTGATTAGAAAATAATATAATTAGTCAAACAGAAAGTATCCCAAAGGAATTGGTTTGTCTTGCTTATGTTGAAGGTAACTATATACTCCATTCGCTATGCTAATGATGAGACACAGGTACAGAATATATGTCAGATGTTACCCTTTAATATCTAACATTTATTCTTTGTATTAGCCCAGGTTTTAATTTATTGAGAAAATGCACAAATGAGAGGTGTAGAGAAAAATGTTTTTAAAGGCAATTTTAAAGATCAGAGGAAGAAGTTTGAGAGGGGGAAGGGCTGTATGGAGGGATGAGCAGCAGGATAGCAGAATAGATGAAAAACAAGAAAGCCACTCAGGGGTCTGAAGCCTAGTTCACTTGACAAACAGGCTTAAGTTGTGTAAGATTCCTTGGTAAAAACAGTCCTGTGTTAAAAATATAAACTTTGATCCTATCAGTTCTGAAATCATCTCCACTCTTTCAACTCAACCTCTATTATATCTATTTTTCTAGTTGCTCTTCCTGTATTCTTCACAGTAATATTAAGTGGCTCAAACAAACAAATTCTTTTAAATTATAAAAACCAATTTATTCTCTGGGGAAAATGTTCTGAATTTTAAAAACATTTTCAAACAAACAGTAGGTGCTTACATTTGCACAAAATGATTTAAAGGAATAGTGTTTGGTTTCAAAGATAAAAAGAATATCTATAAGTGACCATTTTTCTCACTCACAAAAGTATTTACAGCAGTAGACATACATCTCCCTCCAACTATTCCAGAAAAAAAGTTTTTAAGTCTTGACAAAAAGAAACAAAAATATCCCCAATTCAGCATATTTTCTTCTTCCTTATTTAATTTAATGCAGGTATCAGTTAAAAAGGAAAAACACTGCAGGAACATAAATGTCCTCATTTACAGAACACCTTAAAGCATTAACATCTATACAAAATTAAAACTTCTCCCAGTAGCTGACTGAAAAATTGTTTTTAATATAAATTGGCAGGAGTTTTAACTTCTGGAATATAAGGAAGGTTGCAGTGATACAGACCATTTCTTCATTGAGCCAAAAGATCTCCATATTTCACAAGCAACAAGAAAAAAATAATTTAATGATGCTGTACAGAATCAGATCAGAGAGAGACAAAACTTGTAACTTCTCTAAAAGGAGCAAATAACTTCAAAGAACCTAATCTCACACATTGGCAGAGATTCTAATTTTCAGAACAATTAATTAGACACTTTTAAATTAAATCAAATTTTAGGCTTTGCTCTATATGTGTTTAAAAGCATGATAGAATATCTTGAATTAAATCCCAGTCTTTCTTAAATTCAGAAGTTACCAGAAATCAGAGAGTTTAATTTTGGTAACCTTCCTTTCCTAAAGAAACTAATGCATTTTCAGACATTTCAGTCATGGGACAAAGTAGAAAAAATTTTTAATTGATAGAATTTCAGAATTAGCAAGTTTTCTCTACATTGGATTAGTTAACTTATCAAGCTCAAAACAATCAGTTTCATACAATCTACCAAGTCCTGTCTTAATAAAGGCAGCAATATTGAAACAAAGTGCTAGAAATATGTGTGAGACATGATTTGTTTGTATAGTTTTAAACAAAATTATAATATTTTCATCAAGAGCTACTACTTTGAAATACTTCTAAATCATTCAGATTTAAAAATTCACATGATTACAAAATCAAAGAACCTACCAAAAAACTCAAAATATGTGTATGTATATACATGTACATAACATATGCTATCAGCCTGCAAAATAAATTATTCCACTTTTTAAGCCACCTTTTTCTACAGATTGCTTATTTTGCTCATTTTTAAAAGAAACTGTTTCCTCTCAGAGCAAATTATACCATTCTTTTTCTTGAAATAAACCTAATTTTGGTTTTTATGACTGTGCTACAAATGTTTCTTAGTAAAAACAAAGTTGCCAGGGTCTGAAAAGTAATGAGAAATATATTTTAAAGGGGAAATTACATTTTCATTTAAGAATAGAAAATTATGCAGTGCCTTGTAAAATCTACTATAGGTAATGGGAAACAGAGGTATCTCACACACAAAACATGCTTGCATGCACGACAGAGTAGTAAGTCATGGGGACAAAGCAAGGAGAGTGATATATTGGCATCATATCCAGAAAACATAAAGGCTAAACAAAATAATTCCACTCTCAATCTCACTGAATTTTGTATCTTAATTCACCCTTGACCCTTTGAGGCAAAATATATTTATAGACAATGTTCTCGGAGGTTCCTTCCCCTCCTCACAAAGAGCTAATGATAAATGTCATTAAGTAGAATTTGTTTTTGAATCTAAATGAACTTCAATAATCTAACTAACTGGTAGGGAATCATAAACTAAAGAAGATAATGACATTGCATATAAGCCAAGGCAACTTAGAAGAAATTCAAACTAAGCCTGTCAGATTTACCAATCCCAATCCTATCCAACAGCACCCACCATCCCATCATAAGAAAAAATGAAACCCCTTCATCTTCTCACCTTGGGGTCGATTTTTTTGAAGTTAGGATCCTCTTCATCCACCTCAAAATAGAGTTCGGAGGAGGTGACAGAAAGAGTGCCCTTTACTACAACAGAGGGGGCCACAAGCTGAGCTGGTGTGCTCAGGCTAACAGGACCTGCCAAAAGGAAAAGACAAGCCACACAAGTTGGAATGACATTTTTCAAAAAATCAAATTCGACCAGAAATTGTATTTAATCTTTTCATTCTCACGTCTAGTACTGAACTGCCTGCCAACTACTTCTACAGTTAAATATTCTGTCCACCCCAAATCTTCCTCTGAAAATGCAAAGTCAGGATTCTCATACTACAAGATCTATAACAGGCGGTTAATGATAACAGTAAACTAGGATGCAATTATTTTACAGGGAGTCTGCAAAGCTTTGGTCTAATCTCTAGGTAAGAAGTGGCTCTGCCTAAATAAGTCCATCCACATTCCATTTAGAAAACAGGCCTCAGGCTATCTAACAACATGAACAACAACCAGGAGCAAAGAAGCCTCAATAGGCTTCCAAGGCCAGCAGTTAGCTTACAGTATGGTAGAGGCATGGCTACAAAAAGATCACTAGCTTATTAATGAAGTGGGAAATGTTAAACCATATTTTCTGATAGAGATTTTATGCCAGCTTGACACAAAACCTCTTCCATAACAACTTTACCCCATCAATGACTGGTAAAAATACTTCTTTTCTAAGCCTTCCTTTCCACTGTTAAGTATTGTTCAATGCTTCCAAATCTAATATTAGTGTAGTTCAGGGACTCTGGGAGTAAACAGCTGGAGGGTGGGTTTCCAAGTGAATGAATTTTTATTGGAATAATCAAATCTCCACAGGGCTTATCAAAGAGACAAATCAGACTGCTACTGAAAACAATAGATTCACTACAGACAGAACAGCATAATGTGTATTAGAGCTAAATATAAAATATGAACTAAAAATGTTACATATATATGTCTGTTATGTCTGTGTGTGTATACACACACACACACACACACACACACACACACAGAGAGAGAGAGATCGACGTAGAAAGAATTTGAAATTCCATTATCAATTCCTCATGGTATAAATCCTATAGGGGAAGAAAACAGCATAAGAGAAGATTGGCACTTATAGTTCTGAATTAATATAGTGCCTATAAACAAGCTGTGCCTATTCAGGTAATCAATGGGTGAATAAGTGTTTCAAAATTCAGATGAATTGACATTTCCATCGATTGTTAGAAGGGTGATAGTGCTTAATCTCACATCAATCTTAATGTGTGCCAGTAGGACAATAGAAGGGATGCTCTGCGGAGATCAGAGCAGGTTTTGCCCTCTATTCCCAATGTACAAATACATTGTGTTTGCAGATGGGCAGCAGATAGCTGCAGAACAGCCATGATTTCCCAAAGCTCATCCTTATAAATGGATGAAATAAGAAGCTATGTGTTCTTTTGCTGTCTCCTTTTGCCCTCTGTACATTAGCATGTAATACTGAGAAGAAATAACATTTTTTCAATCACTCTCAGACATTCAATTACAGGGTAAGCAGACAGCTGCAAGAGCTAGGGCAGCCTAGGTCCTACAGAAGACCCCTGACAATTTCCACTTCATTTCTAACCCACACCACTTTATTAGTGTGGATTACTTCTTAATCCTATTGCCATTGTCAAGATTATATAATTAAACTCCCCTTTCACCTCTATTACTGTATGAATGTATTACTAGTAGCAAGAATAGAAGCAAAATAAAGGAAGAAATGGGTAAATGGATGTGAAGGAAAAGACTACAGAATAGCAGTATCTACCTTACTCTCCACTCCCACCAATTAATTTTATTTTACTTTATAGAGAGGTTTACAGTTATCAGAGAAGATACCATCTTCTCTTTTTGCTTTTCATTACCAAGTGGCATAGTAGCACAGGTTGCAGATATGTCACCAAAAGCAAGGTTTTTAATGTCTTTTCTCTTAAAATTATCAAAATGGAATACTATGTAATTTTCACCTATTGAAATTATAGAACCTTTCAGACTTTCTTCCTTGAGGGACAGAGCCACAGGTATTAAAGTAAAAAAGCCATTTAATGAATGACTAAAATTTCCGGCTAAACAAGAGAATTTTTCCCATAAGGGATGTAAAACTGAGAATCTGCAGAGTGCAAATCAAAATTCCTACATCAGGCAAAATACGTGAATGTTGTGAAAAGCCATGGCATTCTCGGAATTGATTTGAGAGAGTTACATGCATATACAGCATGTTCACTAAGACCTGTATATCAAAGCAAATAGCTTCTCTCCTTCCAAGCTTTATTTACAAAAAAAAAAAAAAAAAACTGGCAGAATTTTACTTATAGTCTTACTTTACAGAGATTTGGTAACTCCTATGGGATGGGTGAAGTAATTTTGTTCTTTTGTTGCTGCTTTTAAACTTTTTCTTTTTCAGTGAAAATTATTCACAAAAGAAAAAAATGAGGAGAGTAAGAAGACTGAATAGAATAGAAAAATAAAGGAGAAACTGTAGAAGGGGGGGAAGTATTTGAAATAACCAATTAATGTAATTGTGGGTATAAACTTGGTAGTCCTAGTGGTCACAGCTGAAAAAGTAAGTAATTATATGCTTATTGTCCCAGAGGTAGCTGAAATATCTGCACAACCACCAAATTTACCGGCAAGATTCTCTAAATCTTTCTCATCCACGGATGACAGAGTATCATCATCGCCTTCCAGGAGGATCTCGTTTTCTGAGTTCTGATTTCCTAAAGCCTGACTCCTGATGGACTGTTTTCCTTTAGCAAGGATATCTTCATCTGTGGCTGAAATGAAAAGGAAACAAAGCTGTCCATCAGTTCTGGGAAGAGCACTTCGGCAGAGGGGTAGGGGCTTAGGTAAGGGTAGGTGGCCAAAGATGGTCAATCTTTTATACACAGTGTCAGCTACAGTGGAGAAAGTGATTGGGATGGCACACATGCCTGATCTGACAAACTCGATCCCCCAACCTAGTCTAATGTTACCCTAAACAAGCACCCTAATCCCATTAAATTTGACCCCTGCACTGCTCACCAAACCATTTATTTACTTATAGTTAGGGTAGGAGTGGTTCAAAAGCAGTACTTTTATTGAAAATTCATTAATAGGAACAATCAAATCCCAGTTTTGGAAACAATATTTAACAGCAAAAAATAAGGACTGATTCATTCCTCCAAACAATGTTATACTGACAAACATTTTGGAATGGTTGAGGAGTGGCTGTGGAGAAGAATCCAGAATTAAAAAGGGTTAAAGCTAAGAGACATTCACAAGCCAGTGAGGATTTAGGCCCAGATACTGAAGCCATATCTGACACTAATAAGACTACAGCAGCTCCTCAAAGCTGCAATCTCTTCTTTATCCACCCTCCCTCCTTCCTTCCTTCACATTACCCTCGTCCACATGTTCACACATACACTCACTCCTCCGCCCTTTTGTCCTTTATACAAATATCCAGGAGCAAGGCGGTGTGGAAACTAAGTGGAAGCTCAAACACTACCTCCTCTGCATGTTTAAACTAAAGGGCTAAGGCACCCCGGGGGCAAACATAACAGAAAGCCTGGGATGAGAGGCATGTGGGCAAGGGGCCTCATGCGGCCTGAACTGGAGCAGCTTGTGGAGAGCAGCAGTACCAGACTCAGGCACTATGACAAGGCAGCAACTGCAGGCAGATGGAGGAAAAGAGAACACATCTAGGGAGGGAAGAAGCAGCCCTGCAGAGCACCTACACTCAACAATGGGATCCGAAAGGAGAGCAAAGACGCAAATGAAAGTGGAAAACCCTGAAATTCAAAACTCTGATTCAAAACCCACATCCTTCCAGGGCTCCTCCTGTTGTTTTGAGCAGCTTTCTCCTTACGACAAGCAGGAAGGCAGATGCTAACTTCTAAATTGTGATTTGTAAAACTTCATATGTGTATCTTTTCCTAATCTTTTTTTGAATGGTGTCATATAAGGGAAAGTTAAGAATCTTCACCTGACCCTCCTGGCTTCCAGCTAGATAAATCCCAGAGGTAAAGCACCTGATCTACCCAGGCTGCGGCTTTTGATATGGAAATCGGATGGCTAGGGTTTTTTTTTTTTTTTTTTTTTTTTTTGCTCCACTGCAGCTTCTGCCTAGGCATAAGGCCCAAACCCCAGAAAGAATAAAGCAGTCAATTTGCAGTAACACGACTAATATATATATATCTATATAATTTATTCTACATAGTTAACCTGCACATGTGTTACCTGATTTGGCAGATCAAAGGTTCTTAGGGTTTGATAAGTACGTTTACGGATGATGTTAAAGGTAAAAGGTTTTTTTTTTCTCATATTTATTGCGAATTCACCATGTATACCATTTATATACAATACTTATAGTGCTACTGAAACATAGGAGTTTTCTATTTAATAAGAAGTCATGGGAAGAAGCTTTCTATATTTACCTTTAAATACACTCTATGGGTAAATAAAATCTTTCATACTCACAGGCTGCATTGTAAGCTACACACATATGATGGTCTGGACATATGTTTGAAAAGATTACTTTAGTGTATCTAATTAAAGTGGCTTTATTTATTTTTTATTTAATTTTTTTGAGACAGGATCCTGCTCTGTCACCCAGGCTGGAGTGCAAAGGCACAATAACAGCTTACTGCAGCCTCTAGGCTCAAGCAATCCTCCCAGCTCAGCCTCCCAAGTGGCTGGGACCACAGGTGCTTGCCACCATGCCCAGCTAATTTTTTAATTTAACTTTTTGTAGAGATGAGGTCTTCCCATGTTGCCCAGGCTGATCTCTAACTACTGGGCTCAAGCAATCCTACCACCTCAGCCTCTCAAAGTTGCTGGGATTACAGGCGTAAGTCATCTCACCTGGCCTATTTTTTTTTTAAAGGCTAAAAAGAAATATACTTACAATTAACCAATAATTTTTAGAAAAACAGAACTATGTTCTAAAATCACTTATATTTCAAGTATTTATAGTTCCTTACTCTAAAATCAGAAACACTGCCCTGAGGCTAAACAAGATCTTTTGCAGTTTGCTATCAACATTATTAAAAATATATTGGCCACTGAGAAATGCAAATGAAGCACCATCTTCTAAATGTTTTTATAAAGTAAATTATAATAAATTATTATTTTCCAGTTAGATTTTAGTACAGAATAAGTATACCACATTCTTTTTATTTCTTGGATTTATAATTCCTTCTTCAAAGCAGAAATAATAATAAGGCTAATATTACATATCATTTTGCATAAGTCAGGGAGTAGTGTTAAAAATACTTTACATAGTTAATTCATTTAATTCTCATAAACCTTCTGCTTAGTTCTAATTTTAAGATAAGAAAGCAGGCTCAAAGAGGTTACATAAATTGACCAAGTTAACATGCGTTTGACAATTAGAGTCAGGATTTAAAAACAGGCAGCACGGTGCCAGAAGCTGGGCTCTTAACCACGATGCCATATTAGCTCTTAGATGTAAGAAACAGAAAGAAAACAAAACAACCACTGTTCAAATATGAATGTGTATATAATTAATTTGTTTACTAATTCTTGTTTTTCATAGTGCATTTTAAAAGGTTAAATGAGAATAATAATCAAGAACAAAAAATATTCATTTCCAAATCTAAAATTGATGAACATGCCAAACACATCAGAAACAACTAAACACCCTGCTCATTACTTCCTCTGATTATTGCCATACATGTCCTAAAGTACACCAAGCTTATGTGAAAGGAAAAAAGAAGAAACCTCTTTAATCTGCAAACATTTACAAAAAAATGAGAGTCCCCAGTGGCAATATGTAATGGTTTAAAATAGCTCAAAAAATAAATTCACATTCATTTATAAATGACCACGAGAAATATAATTATCCCTTCCAATTGCAATTAAAAAATTTTTAAATATGTTCTAATCATGCTGCCTATATTAAAACACAGTAAGGTAACTTCTGAATTAAAGTTTCATTAAAAATTTTACATACTATAGGTGTACTGTATGCATACACACACCCACTTTAATTTATTTATTTACTTATTTTTACAAGCTCAGATTCTGGAATTGTTCAAGCTCCACTGAAAAACCTCTTGTCATGGAAAATATGCAGCTTACTGATATTTAGAATGGTTTTCCTGTAATTAACTCCCCCTTGAGGATTTTAAGTTAGCAGCAGTAAAATTACCAACAGTACTCTAATATACACCACATGCGCTGGTGTTCAATTCTCAGTGGTCTAATAGCTTTCTGCTAAAGAACCTTAAAAAAAAATTAGAACAAAACTTTTCCAAGCATAAAATAAAGGATTATTATCATGTTTATATGTACTGGGGAAAAGTATATTTTTAACTTTCATTTGCCTTATTCTCAATCAACCATTATAAACAAGTATTTTGATATCTTCTGTGAGCATATTCTACACACGTCTAAAAGTTAATTGGATGAAGTCAGAATATACTTTGGGTTCCATTTTAAAGCTCAATTCAGATATTTCTGGCTAATAAAATTGTTACTAACATGATTGCTGTTTAAATTTTTCATATCATTATTAAGAAATGCCTTTTATTCTGGTTTAATTTCACCTTTTATTCTAGTTTAATATTTATCCTAACTTAATACTTAAACTGCAATTGTTACATAAAATTGGAGAAATCTGTCAGAAATGTCATCTTTAAAAATGATTTGATTCACTGAGGCTAAGAACAATGAAAGGCCTAAGAGAGAGAGGCTGGTCCCCAAAATGTAAAATTCAAGTTCTTCAGAGCTAACTCTGGACATGAGTTGATTTATCTATCCACCACAAAACAGGTAAGTAGAATTAAAATATAAAAACAGCAAAAACACACACAACAAAAACTGTTCCACCTTTGATATAAATCCTTTTTAACATCTACTGAGCAAGTGAACTGGAATCATCAATAGTCTGTATTAAAGTAAAAGAAGTTTATACTTTAAGAATTAGCATTTTTAAAAAAGACTACTATTAGAATAACAGAGTGCCTTCAAACATACATAAAATAAAAATGGGTATCTACTTATGTGATCTGAAGCACACACCATAACAGCATTCTGAACAGGACACATAAAGAATATCTTATAATCAACTATTGTTCTAATTGATTCCCCTCTATAGTTTATGCCATGTCCATAGCATTCCAAGTCAAGAAAACTGACTCTGTAAAAATTAATGAAACTACAAAGGATAATTAGGAGAATAAGCCAGGTGCATCTCGTAATAATCATGGGCTAACCAAAATTTTAGATAGAGAACCTAGTATATGTTGATCCTAAAAAGGAAGCAACAGTATCTGGCATTATTGAAGTTATGAGACAATGGCACGATTTAAGATCTTTACATGATCTGTCATCCCTAGAAAACCAAATGAGTTACTTGTATCATTCCATATGCTTACAAGATACTTTTAAAACTATGTTAAATTCTCCTTATATATTTCTATTAGCAAGCACGTTCTCTACCAAATAAAAATGTCTTGAATTCAATAGGATTCTCTGCTAAACTGTTTTAGCACCTGAATTAAAACCAATCTTTCTACCGTTTAAAACATTTTTTACATGTCTTTAATTTAAATATAAAATTCCCGTTATATTTAATAATGAATTTTAGAGGACAGCACAGCACACTGATATGAAAATCTGGGTTTCAGTCAGTTAACCTGGGCTTTAGTCCTTTATCTACCAAAAATTATACTGGCCCTTTGTTTCCTCAGTTTCCTTATCTGTAAAGAATAAAGTTAGACTAGATGTTAGCCTTAGGTTCCTTCTACATCTAAAATGCTCTGATAGTAAGTAACAGCTAACCAGGGCTCTGGCATTAGGAAAATGTTACAAATCATTGCTACCAATTTCTAATAAATTTTAAAACTATAAAATGGAAGAAAATGCCCTCAAGAATAAAATGCCCAGCTTTGCTTGAGCTGCTAATTTCCATAAAGAATACTTAATCATAAGAGGAAGTATTAATTTTAATTTTAAAATATGACTCAGTTTCTGCAAAGTTAAAGAAATCTCCCATTACAGCATGACTTTTATAAATAACCACTTTGGAGGGTCTCTGCTTGAAAAATTACCTAAAGCTTTTTTCCCCAAGCAAGTTAATGTGAACTTGGGAAGGGCAATTAAATTGTCAGAATTAAAAAATTTGTTTTTAACTAGAAGGTAGCCAGAAGTAGAGTCATGGGGCTGGTATTGATCGCCCAAACAGAGAACATCACTCTTCAGGTATTTACTCTGCCACCTTTACACTAGAGGCTTTCCTTCAAATCAAATCAATCTATAAAAAAGATGGCTCTTACTACTAAAATACGTAACTGATCTCCAATGGCACTTCTATTTAGATGTCTTCCTTTGATAATGATAATATAGTTCATGGTGTTCTAAGATTCTGCATTTTTAAAATGTCCTATCTCCTTAGTTAAATAAATTATAAATAAAAGTGAGAAGTCATAAAAATATAAGAATGACATACTATCCTCATTAATATATATTTTAAACATTTAAATTCAACATTGAAGCACGGTATTTATCCATGTTAAAATCTGTAATTTCAACTGCTTTTTGATCACATTAACAATTTTGTTTTGCATACTTAATTCTTAATAAGTTTATTTTGATTAGCTTCTTTAATGCTCCAAAATTTTTAAACACCAAATTAAAATTGAATGTCACCATAAAATATTTAATACACCAGTAAAAAATTAAGCTCTTTGTTTACAGAATATATTAGCATAAATTTTCTAACATCGAACAATACCATAATACAATCTATGTGCTGAATTTATTCCCTTTTTATTTAAAATAAAATAAATATGAGGTAGGATTAGAATTTGTGTTTTTTTAAAAAATGTTATAGTAAATATTAAATATGATATATCTCTGAAATTGTAAGACAACTGAAGAATCTCCTACACATTTAGATTTTTAAACATATATTTCAAACGCAAGTTTTGTTTTTAACATTTTGGAGTATGACAATAATCATAAAATTACTATAAAATATTACTCAATGCTTACCTTTGCTGTTCTCTCTCAATTTAAAAATGCACACTAAAACATAGATAATTAACATTGGATTAACCTTTCAATTACTATCGAGAGTAATCAGAGTGAAATCTACTTCTATACAAGTCAAGAGTCTTAGGATGATAGTAAAAACATGTTAATAAATTCTTTTTTGTCAAACTTTAATGCAGATGCTTAGCATTAAAAAAGCTGACAAAACAATATGATTTTAAGAGCTCAACAATTAAAATTTATTCATTAAAAATCCTGTAACTCTTCAAAATGGTTAAATGTACTATTTTTGATAAGAATATTTTAATAAATTCTATATTAAATCTATACCACAAATTTTAAATTGAATTATTGATATCTAAGGATAAAAGATTAACAGCCTATCTATGTGCAATTTTAGAAAACAAATCCTCCCCTTCCAGATATAAAAGGAAAATGTTTTTACGAAAACATATTGCCATGTATAGATCTCAGAACTCACAAATTACTGTAAATGATGGTTTAGAAGACAGAAAAATAATTAAATTTCAAATTTTAAGTGGACATGGTAATACATTTTGTTAAAAATTGCAAAAAAAGTTCACCTTCTCCATGTAAGCATCATTAACCAAAACAAACCAGAAAATCCAAAAAAACACACAAAAAAAGAAAAAAAAACCCTCTGAAATCTGTTATCACCACCTAAAAACTATATGTACTCTAAAAGCAAAAGTGGCCTAATTAATTCTACATTTTATTTCTCTTTCTCCACCTCCTGTAGTTGAAGATGTAGGGCCATGAGACTATTATTGCTTTTAGATCACTTTGTTATTGACTATTCTCTGTATGATCATTTATTTTAAAGGACTGATGTAACATGTGGTGTTATATCTGATGACATATTGTGGACATTTTCTTCCAGAAATGGCTCTTTAAGGCTGAGTGCAAGAGGTTAAGCTGCCTGACTGAGGCCAAACCTAAGATTACAGATTTTTAATCTAAATTCTTAATATCCTTATTGAATATAAATTAACATTTATTTTGTATGCTACATATTTCCATTTAATCACAAGCTCCTGCATGTTAAAACAATACCCTGAAAAAGGAAAATTAAAAGTACTTCTGACTTTATTAAAAACCAATTTATATTTTATAAAGTCAGGATAATTTTAATGTGGGGAGGAGCATTTCCCCCTTAACCAATATATCTTAATTGACTTTCAAAAATCATAAAATAAGTGAAATTTTATAAAAATTTATAGTATCAAATCCAAAGGAAATTTTCAGTTTTTCCAATTTACTTATAAGACTTTTACCTAAACTGAATCATAGTCATATGCATTGTATCAAAAAAGCAAAAATGTTTTGTTAAGCTCTGATAACAAAATAATATAGAATAGGAACGTATGAAAATAATGTTTATTCTCTTTTTCCATGAGCCATCTATCATAACCATCTTCAAATCAAGGCTCAGAAAGTATCTAGGCAATTGGACATTTATTATTATCTTTCCCAGTTCATGATCTCATGCTAAAATACCAGGATTGGGCGAAAACCATGTATACACAACAGAACCTAGAAACTTATCTGGTTTGTAAATGCTGTCTTCCTGATATTCATGGATTTAAGGCATGCCTCCTGGATTCATTTACTCAAAGCTGAATGTGTCGCTTAAAAGGAGACATATTTAATCTTTGTACTCTGAAACAAAGGGTCTATGTTAAGTAAGTTTTGTATGTGTAACATAATTAATAAATATACTTGACACCATAATTTAATAGGACTCTATAGTAACTATAAAAAAATTTAACTTCTCTTTCTGGTATGAACAACCATAAAATGTGGTGTTGGACCATTTTACAGTGCCTTGTAATAATGAAGTTATGCTCTTCATTACCAAGTCCTGTACCTGCTGCTATTGGCAAGGAATGGTTTATACACTGACCATGTTCCACGGCTGTTTTTAGTGTCGCTTCAGGATGTGTCGATCCTAGAGGGTTACGCACAAATCGTCGCCGGCGCCGCAAGTCATCTTCCCAGTAGTCAAGGCGCCAGAACTCAAGAGGACGACTACAATGAAACAGAGAAGCCACATATGTTAGCAATTATCAAACAGCGTGGTAGCACTGAATTTCTGCATAAAGCTCTCCTTGTTTGCTCTGCCTTTTTTTCCCTCTCCTTCCACTTAATTCTCCCTCCATCTCACACTCCCCTTTCTGCAATCTTTAACTTAGGTATGTCCTTGAAAATAACAATATCACCTTCTAGTCTAAGGAACTCCTTTTCCTTTTCTTGGAAGGTGAAATGAGCACTAAATACATCATTTTGAAATGAATTGCTGACAGTGTGATCAGTTTCCCCACACTCTAGTGGCATGTGCTCTGATTTCAGCCTCATTTCAGCCTCAGCAGGGCACCTTTCTCTGTAGCTGCATTTATAAACCAGAATAGGGAAAAGGCTATTATAAATATGGTATAGCATTACCTATATTAATCAAAGTCCGTCCCCCTTCATTTTTCTTCCTAATTTGTGCCTTTTTGCACAAGGTCAGTAAATCATACCATGAATTCTTGGTCCAGAAAGTGTTAACTTTAATGAATATCTCAGTTACATGGTTATGTATGTGATAATAAAATATTACTCTGTTTAGATGTGCAGGAATTTAATTAAAATAATCTCTTAAAATATTCATTACATTTAGCCCCTGAGGCTTAGAACAACACAAGAAAATGCATTTCTTTTCCATTTACTGTTTTTAAATAAACCATTCCTGTAGAGTGAAATAGCAATCTATTTTCAAGCAAATCAGATTGGATTTCTGTTTTATGTACTCTGTTTTTATATTTAATTAAAAACTACATGCTATATGATGTGCAATAATTGCTATATCAAAAGCATACTTTTGGAAATGTATTTTTTAAAAAAAGGTTTGCTCATTTCAAATTCTATATTTCCCCTATTACATACACATTTTATATGGCAATATATAAATGTCAGCTTTCTCTCTTGTTAACTAATCATGATCTAGCATGCTGGAAAAATATTTTATAAGGAAAATACTAAAGTGTTTTCAGTTATAGTAAGAAAAAAGTCTCTGTAGAATACATTAATTCAATAAAGATATACAGCAGGAACACCTGTAAGTTTCAATAATGAAATTAAAAAATTATTCATAATCAAAACTTCTTCAGGAATGACTAATACAAAATACAATCTTACTTATATTTCGGGAGCTAATAAAATTGTATCTGTCAGCTTTGACAAATTAGTAGTCTTCAACAACTGACAGTCCCAAACTACCCAAGTAAAAGTTACCTTTATTTTGATGTTTTAAAGATGTTCTCTTTAAAAATTCAAAATAGGTTTATAAATAAGTACTTTTATCAATTAAAAACTATCTTGTATTAATAAAAAGCATAAACAGTACGTTATTTAAAGAAAATCTTTTTAAAACAGTAGAGACTGATCTCTGAAAATGCTGAAGGGATAAGAACATCAAATATTTCCTTGGGTGATTTTGGTCAGGAGAAGGAGATATAATGTAATCAAAATGTAATACAAAAAAAGTATAAGAATTGCAGTTCTCAAAAAGAAAAATTTAAAAAGCTATTATTATATATTTCTTCATTATTCTGTCTAAATTTGAATAAAAACATGATGATATTATTTAAAAATAAATAAATACCCACAGAATATACATACAATCAAAAGACAACAGTTGTTTTAACTCAATTAATAAAATGAAATTCTCCTTAGGTGAGAAGGAAAAAGGCAGTACACAGATGGCTGTGTGTATGGCTTTGATAGTCATGGAGCTTGGATAGGCACTTCATCATTCTGCCTACCTACATTTATCTGTTAAAATTATTATCAAATATCAGCCAGGATGCAGTCGTGAATCACAGGCTGCTCCTCGCCTTCAGGGGAATGATACAATGAGGGTCTATTCATCAGTGCGGCAATCGGCACAAGTAATTAGTTCCCTAGACTGAGATCTCCTACAAAGCCTATTTCAGTCAGCACCACAAACATATGACGATGTAAAGCTAATGAAAGCTGCTCAAATTTGTTAACCTTTTCTGCCATCTATCCTTCTAATACTCTATGCTTCAGTATTATGCAAAGGTAGTAAATTATTAATTTGTCATTCATCCATCCTTCTACATTTTGAGTCAAATTAAATGATGTCATTCTTCTTGATAACAATTAAAATTATAAGAGATGTTAAGCTGCTATGATAAAATTATGACTAAATTAGGTAACAATAGATTCTACTATAATGCACCACAGTGAAGTCAAATTCAATGGCTATTAAGCATATGCACAATAACTTTTATCACACAGCAGAAAAACCAGAGGAATTATAAAATTATTCACAAATTATCAAGTAACTCAAAGATAATATCTATAGCAAAAATAACCAAAATTAGGAGGAAATAAAACGATAATATTTATTTTTATACCTTGACACTAAAAAAAATGGTCAAAATGGTGACATTTGGCTAAAACAAAAACACCAATGCATCAGGGAACTGAGAATTTGTTCACATAATAGAAATGAAAGTTGTTTCATTTCTGCTAACTATATATATATATGCAGACATACATACTGTCTTCAAATATATTCTATCAATTTTTTTTTCTTTTTGAGTTGGAGTCTCGCTCTGTCACCCAGGCTGGAGTGCAGTGGCACTATCTCTGCTCACTGCAAGCTCCTTTTCCTGGGTTCACACCATTCTCCTGCCTCAGCCTCCCGAGTACCTGGGACTACAGGCGCCTGCCACCATGCCCGGCTAATTTTTTGTGTTTTTAGTAGAGACAGGGTTTCACCATATTAGCCAGGATGGTCTTGATCTCCTGACCTCATGATCCGCCCGCCTCGGCCTCCCAAAGTGCTGGGATTACAAGTGTGAGCCACCGCACCCGGCCTATTCTATCAATAATTTTTTTAAATACTTAAACATGGTCCAAATAGAATAAACGACCTGTAATACCACAGCATGATAATATTTACAATCTCCTGAAGCTATGTCACTTAAGGACTATTTTTCCAACACAATCCAGTTACAACACAATTAAAAACAATCTGAAGACAAAGCAAATATCACTTAGTTCAGATCACATATCTAGAAAGAATTATAAAAATCATTTCAAAAGACCAACAATTTCAATATATTTTTTGAGAGTCTCTTCATATAAAGCACTGCTCCAGGTGCTACAGTGTACAAAGTTCTCATGTAATAGACTTATAATCAAACAGTTAGCTATTAGTCTCATTTGAGAAAATAGCATTTATCACCCAATTTCAGATTGTGTAGGTAATACATGTTTTTGGAGAAAAAGCCACACACCCACTTATTTGAGATATATTTAAAGTCATTTAAATATATTTAATAACTAGCATATTTAAAGTCATTTACACAGTAACAAACCTGGGCCTAAAGTACAATGTTTTGTTTCCCTAAGTCTGCTCCCTCCAACAACACATACTCTCAGTATAACGCTCTACCACACACACACACAAAAATGAGGCCGGCTTTGTCATTTTAAAACAGTATTATAAAGGAGAATGTGTAGGTTTTGGTCTTCAACTTACTTTCTTCACTCTCATTTAAGAAATACTGTTCCCTACCCCGTCCCTTCCTCAAAAGCCTCTTCCAGGCAAAAGAGGATACAAAATTGGCAAATTTATTAATAACATAGTGATCCAACCCTCTTCCCAAAAGGTTATAAAGTAATTAAAAGATTATACATTTTTGTAGTTATCACCATGGTACGATCAGCAAAATTTAAAAGACTTCATGTGTTCAGAAACAGACTGTTGACCAAATATAAGCATGGATAAGATCAGAAATCACTTATTCTGGCACCTTATAAGTACATATCTAGATCACATTATATACCTATACCTTTATATATCTGTATCTATCCCCAAAAGTTATATTAATACTACACAACACCCTTTCACAAACTTCACTCATATCCATTTCCACTAAGATCCTCAAAATCTTCAAAGTAAAGAGGTTAGCCTAAGTTTTAGATCTGGAAATACTATTTCCTTCAGAAGACATAAGCCCTTCTCTACAAAGATGCCCTACTTAGGGCTCCTCTTAGGACACAATCTCCAGGTACTAAAGTCTTTGACTGGTGGAACATATGTCTTTAAAAAGTTATGGATGGCACTGAAGTTAAATATTATAATCTTTCTAATTATTTTTTAATTTAGTTTTTTCGTTCTTTGGTCTAACTTCAGAGTCTGAAGTTAAAATTACCATGTAAGTCTATTGGACTTTTCTACATATACGTCATCTAATTATGTTTCTACTTTTTAAAAAACTTTCACGTTATGTGTTTGTATACACACACCTTTAATACATCACTATAATCTACATAAAATAACATAAAGCAATGTCATGGCTTTTTTGTGGTTGTTGTTGTTTTTTAAGATGGTAGAGTGTCACCCAGGCTGGAATGCAGTGGCAACATGAGGGAACAGAACAAAGCTCACTGCAGCCTCTAACTTTTGGGCTCAAAAGATTCTCCTGCCTCATCCTCCCCAGTAACTGAGACATCCTCCCCAGTACAAAAATTAGTAATCTGGCTAATTTTTTTTATTTTCTTAGAGATGGGATCTTGCTACATTGCCCAGGCTGGTTTCGAACTCTTGGCCTCAAATGATCCTCCTCCTTGAGCCTCCTGAGTAGCTGGGATTACAGACACAAGCCACTGAGCTTGGCTGGCAATGCCATTTTAATACATAGAATATATGTTTTATGTTCTACAAGAACAGAATTTGATAGATTATTAAATTTTTAGAAAGAAATATAACTCAAACATCAATAGATAGGCTATTTATTCTATTTCCTAGGCCCTTTATGGTTACTGATTTGATCAGGTAGAACAAATGAATAAGAATTAAACAAATGAGAATCATTTGGAAGAGGCAGAAGTATTAAAACAAAATCAACAACTAAGGTACGATTCACATTTTTCCTCTAATAGTTAAATGATACAACTATACAAATTTGACTATTATTTTTCTCATGTTAATTGTAAGAATTTTTAGGCTGGGCACTGTGGCTAATGCCTGTAATCCTAGAACTCAGGGAGGCTAAGGAAGGAAAACTGCTTGAGGTCAGGAGTTCAAGACCAGCCTGGGCAACATAGCAAGACCCTGGTTCAAAAAAAAAAAATTAGACAGGTGAGGTGGTGCATGTCTGTAGTTCTAGCTTCTTGGGAGGCTAAGGTGGGAAGGTTTCTTGAGCCCATAAGTTGGAGGTTGCTGTGAGCTCTGATGATGGCAATGAACTCTAGCCTGGCTGACAGAGGGAGAGACTATCTCCAAAAAAAAAAAGGAATTATAAAGTTTAGATTTTTTGAAACCCAATTAGCCAGTTAACATGGTATGAATGGCCAAATATTCTAATAAAATACCAATATATTTTCTAATAACAATTATTTATTATTTACCTGAGTCAGCTGTGGCAATACAAGGATTATTACAATGTTGTCCCTGATGTCATGGAAAAGGCAGATGCAAAAACAAATAATAAGAATTCAAAAAAGTATGTGTAACAGAACAGAGCTTTACTACATGGCTATTAAGGTGCACAACTCCAGGGGGCACTTTTCACATCAAAATTTTTGTAAATAACATGCCCTGGAGTTATGCAATGCTCACTGTACATTACTATATGCCACAGCCCAAGTGCTAGGAGAATACTACCTTTACCCACACATCCCCCAGTTCCCCTGCCCCACAATTCAATGCTCAGGCTCCTTTCTTTCTCTGGAATCCAAAAGTTAAATCTAAACTTGGGAACAGGAAACAGAACAAAGCCCTTCAGACACTATCAGTGGCAGTTGCACAGTCAGTATTTCCCTGCTGTAGGAAAAAGTGGACATATTAGGAAGATGCTTGGTTGTCAAAACACAAGCAAAATTCAATAAAAAGAATGAAATAATTAAGTACATAAGAGAAATATTAACATTTATTTAACCAAAAACCATTAAGTTCGCATTGCTATATTAAAGTAGATAACTTTCTGGATATTGCTGTATTAAAGCAGAGTAGTTTCCAGAACAATGTTAATTACTGAAATCAGTGGTAGCTATGTAAGTATCCCAGTTATTCTACAACCTAGATGAATTGGCACCTATTATCAAATGAGTCAAATGTATTCATGTCTATCATCTCACTGGTTTTAGTGTCATTTTAATGTAACTTAAATATGTCAATAAAAGTATATGAGTTTTAAAAAGAAAACCTGTCAAAACACAATCATATTAGAAAATTTTCCCATTTTCCATCTCGCCCACTTTGCTTTGGCAATACCTGATAAATCTTGATAACCTTAACAGAAGTCAGTAAGAAATTCTCCTAGCTAAAGTTCCAAATCCTAGAACATTTTAGCACTTCATATTTTGTTCTTAAATTTTCACATTGCCTGTTTTTTAAACTCCTATATCTGACTAGCTTCTATTTCCATATTTTTAGATTAAAAATTCATAGTAGACATTAGTTACAACTGAAATAAATGGTAACCCCTAAAAAGCAGTAAACATTTTCAGAGCACTGTCAGCTTGAAGATAAAAAGCACTTAAGTTCTAGAAAGGTTTCACATTCTGTATAAATCTTGGTGAAATAATGTTCAGGTACTATAGGTATCATACAATATAAGAGAATGCTTTACCTCACAAACTGAAATCTATGGTGCCTTCATGCAAATAAAAAGAAAATTAACTAAAACCTCTGTTTACCAAGTACCAACTATAAATCAAGGGCAGCTGATCTATGCATTATGCTGTCTTAATGAAAAGGACAAACAAAAACAAAAACAAACCCTTCAATTGTGTGGATTCCAGCAGAGAAGACACATACTAAAGCAGAATTCTTTCTTTATTGAGGCCTGACATTGAGACACTGGAGTATCATATATTTTATTTAATTATGTAAAATCAAATTTTATGTAATTAGGAATTTCTGCATGTCACTATTCAATGTATGTCTGTATTTGTTTTTTAAAGCCATCTAGATATCCATCTTCAATTAATTATTAGTTTGGACATTTGGCAACCAAGTTAATTATTCAAGAAATGATCCCAAGCTTTTCCTGTCTGTTGTTAGCCAGTTGACCATTTCTTTCTTCACTTAGAATTTTTACCAGGGATTGAGTAAAGTTATGAGACTATCAAAATCTGGTGTTATACTACCAGTTAAAGCTCTAACAAAAGACATCTAGGAAAAAAAACCATTAAAATGATGTTATTAAGAACCAGAAGCCTTAAAGCTCACCTCAGCCTCACTATTTAGACAAATCTATTATACTGTCCCCAAATATCTAATTTAAAAAAATTCACCAAACACTTGTTGAGTGCCAACTATGTACCAGATTGTGGTACATACAAATGAATGATGCTGGGCTCAACCTACACAGGACAATGGGGACAAGGAAATTATTAAATATAAAAAAAATAAGTTAAAATAGACTATATTACTTTAGGCTACTCTGTGCTACACACTGTTCTCTGTTATATACAGTACCGCCAAGCCTCAACAACCCTGCCATGATTAAATACTGCTATTCTCATTTTAAAGGTGACGAAAGTAAGTTTTACCCATTGGTAGTAAATAATAAGTCTGATGACGTCTAAGCCAATGAGCTTTTCACTACATAGCATTTCCTCTTGAACATCTTATTCGTTACTATTATAGCTATGATCAAAGTACTAATTAACCCTGCCTGGGAGGACTCAGGATTTCATTAAGATTTCAATGAGGATCTATTTTGTAAGTTACATGAAGAGAAGGGTTTATGCGTAATTCACTGACCAAGCACAGTAACTGTTACAAAACTGCCACTTAATAAATAATTGATCAAAGAGTAAACCGATGACTTTTAAACAGAAACTTAAATGATAAACAGGAGTCTGCTGAACAAAATGGAAAAGGCACTATAAGCCAAGAAATAGCATGGATAAAGGCATGGAAATGTAAAAGGGCTCTGTAATTTAAGGAAGTTTTGGTAAGAAATCACAGCTAGACAGCCTTAGGATGGGAAAAGCTAAGGTAAAAAACATAGGTTTAGAACCAGATTTCAAAAGACCTTGTAGAGTTAACTAAAGTAACTACCTGTACATCCTAGAGTCTACAGAGACAGCATCAGGCTTTCACAAGAGGTTTAATATGATCAGGCTTGTATGCTACACGGCAGCAACATACAGAATGTCTGGATTAAGGCAGTGAGGATGGAGCCTAGAAGTGAAGGGTTTAAAGACATATCTGAGGTAGAATAGATAAGACTTCACATGATATTCAAATATGGGAGGTGAGGAAAAAGATAATGAGAATAAAATCAAGGGCTGTAACAAGAGGGAAGTTAGAAGATAAAGATGCTATTTAATTAAAATAAATACAGGTTAAACAGGCCTGACTGGGAAAAATAATCGCATCCTAGATGCCTAATAACATCCAGGCAGGTATTTCTAATAGGTAAGTAATATAACACTGGAATTGAAAGAGAAGAGGCCTGTGCTAGAGATTTAAAATAGGGAGATTGACCAGGCATGGTGGTTCAGGCCTGTAATCCTAGCACTTTGGGAGGCTGAGACAGGTGGATCACTTGAGCCGTGGAGTTCAAGACCAGCCTGGCCAACATGGCGAAACCCTCTCTCTACAAAAGATACAAAAATTAGGCAGACACGGTGGCTCACACCTGTAATCCCAGCACTTTGGGAGGCTGAGGCGGGCGGATCACGAGGTCAGGAGTTTGAGACCAGCCTGGCCAACGTGGTGAAACCCCGTCTCTACTAAAAATACAAAAATTATCCAGGCATGGTGGCATGTGCCTGTAATCTCAGCTACTTGGGAGGCTGAGGCAGGAGAATTGCTTGAACCTGGGAGGCAGAAGTTGCAGTGAGCCAAGATCGCGCCACTGCACTCCAGCCTGGGTGACAGAGAAAGACTCCGTCTCAGGAAGAAAAAAGAAAAGATACAAAAATTAGCCAGGTGTGGTGGTGCACGCCTGTAGTCCCAGCTACTTGGGAAGCAGAGGTGGGAGCGTCACCTGAGCCCAAGAGGTTGAGGTTGCAGTGAGCTGAAATTGTGCCACTGCACTCCAGCCCAGGTAACAGAGTGAGATCCTGTCTCAAAAAATATATAAGAAAATAGGGAGACTGGTTAGTCTTGGGAGTCAGTAGATTTAGCATTCATTTAACAAAAATGTACTGAGTGTTTATTGTAAGCCTGGGTATTTTGCTAGACCCAGAGAAGAGTCTATTGAAAGGGCAGGAGAAAGATGGGGATGAATATTGCAGAACAGAAAAGGATCAGTAAAAGAAACAGGGAAGTAACAGTGCCTTACAGTCAATAAGATAATGGGAGAACCAAAATAGAACGGTGCCAAAAAAGACAAATGAGCAAAAATGTTTCAAAGCAGTCAGCGGGCACCATTATTTAATTCTGCTTAAACATGCTCAAAAGGATGAAAAATGAAGAGAAGTCTTTGTTCATGTTTTGTGTTTTTAACAGCTTTATGATATATAATGTATACACCATAATGCTCACCCGTTTAAAATGTACAATTCAACGTTTTTTAGTATATTTACAGAGTTGTACAATCATCACCATGATCTAATTTAAAAACATTTTTATCACCCCAAAATGAAACTCCATACCCATTACCCGTCATTCCACATCTTCCCTTCCTCCCAGCCCCTGGCAATGATGAGCCTACCTTCTTTCTCAACATATTTACCTATTCTGGACATTTTATATAAATGGAATCCATACAATATGTAGAATTGTGTGACTGGCTTCTTTCACTCAGCATAATGTTTTTGAGGTTCATCTATGTTGTAGCACATATTGGTAGCTCATTCTTTTTATTACTGAATGATATTTCATTGTGTAGATACGCTGCATTTTGATTATCCATTCATGTACTGATGAACACTTGAGTTGTTTCCATTTTGTGGGGATCTTTGGGTTTTACGATGAGAAAACTGAAGTACTTGGTTAGCTATCTAGCATTCACTTCTCTCCTCTTTCCTAATAACTGAATTACAATTTTGTTCAGATATCTATCACTTTTTAAATGTTTCTCTGACTCATGGAAAGCTGACCAAATTATGATAAATCCGGTCATTCTCAGCAGCGATTGGTTCAGGAATCCAGCTTTAAGAGGATCACTGCATAAATTCTGCCTAGCAACCACTTTTCACCAATATGAAATGGAAACCTTCTATTCAGTGGTTGAGACAAGAGTTCTTTCTTTTTCCTGATGGTCTGACACAATGAAACATGTAGATCCAGTTGCTGGCAGTCATAAGGCATCCATGAGAGAAGCCAGATTGGAAATAGTTTATACATCCGGGGACAGAGAACTGAAAGAGTTACAGGAAAATGGAGCCAGAAGCCTGCCCCAAAGCCTATACATATCTGTACTTCTTATAAGAGATATTATACTTCTTCATAATCTAGTGAAGTCAGGAAGTTCACTTGGTGCAAGATTTCTTATTACTTGCCTTTGAAACCACCTAACAGATACATGGATTACTGGTGATGCTGTGAGCAATTTGATTACAGTGGCTGGAAGGAAAAGTAGAGAGTAAAACACTTATGCTTTGGTGGCAATGGTTAATATTGATCTCCTCTTCAAAAATTTTGACGATGAAAGGAATTAGAGAGCTAGGATGGCGGTTTAAAGAAGGTAAAGAACAGACTTAAGCATGTTTGCAGAAGGAAAAGACAAAGTCCAAAGAATTCAAAGAAGCTGAAGATGGCATTGGGGGTAGGAGGTGGGTAGCAGGAGCAGGGTTTGATAAAGACAGAAGAGGTATGATCCCATAAAAAGATAACATGATGAACTTGGAAGTAACTAAGGTCATCTCTTTCTTTGTGGCAAAATCCAAGGATGTAAGACTCTGTACTTTAATAAATTCAGGGCTGAAGAGAAGAAAAACTAAAGACCAGATTTTCACCTGATTGTTTGTTTTTTTTCTATTACGTAGCATATTTTTGACTAAAGAAAAGAATAGAGGAGGTAAAATTAGAAGAGGTGCCTTGGGGAATACAGAAGAAAGCTGACAAAGGAAAAGTTTAAGGATGATTAAATAGCTTATGAAGGTCCAGCTGAGTTTGGAAACCATTGAGGTAGCATCGATCTGCAGAACTGTGTGATTTTTCCTATACCCTGACCCTGACCATACATAGTAACCTGGGAGAAAGAGTAAAAAGAGCAGCTGAGGCCAGGTGTGGTGGCTCACGCCTATAATCCCAGCACTTTGGGAGGCCGAGGTGGGTGAATCACGAGGTCAGGAGTTCGAGACCATCCTGGCCAACATGGCGAAAACTCGTCTCTACTAAAGACATAAAAAATTATCTGGGCGTGGTGGTGTGTGCCTGTAATCCCAGCTACACGGGAGACTGAGGCAGGAGAATCGCTTGAACCTGGGAGGCAGAGGTTGCAGTGAGCTGAGATTACACCACTGCACTCCAGCCTGGGCGACAGGGTGAGACTCCCATCACAAAAAAACAAACAAACAAACAAACAAACAAAAAACAAAGCAGTTGACCAGACTCATTCAAGATTTAGGACTGATTTGGTTGGCAGACCAAAATAAGGAAGGTTAAGGAAAATGAGTAGGCTAGTAAGAACGCCTGGGATGACTATGGGTGATAAATCCATGATCTTTCTGGACTTTAATAAAATAAATAACATAGGCTTTATAGACATTGACTCATTGGGAAATCAAATTTATCCTGCATCCCAAGCTACTTATATTGATGATAATTAATCAATATAACTGGCTTATGATGCAGTATAAATTTGATTTTCCAATGAAACAATCAGTAATTCTATTTAATCAATATATCCAGTCCCCTTATTTACTGCTGCTATGTTTTCAACTTGTACTAAAACACATATAGAATAAAAGAATGGAAGATTATACTGTACTTGAAGACTTTCTTCAGTCTTCAAAATGATAGGATCACTAGCCAGGAGATGAGGATAGGGAGGAGAAGGTTGTTGTAAATAATCATGGGACTGAACAATCTATACGCAGAGACCATCTGAAGGCTTAGGGAGGCAGGACCTCACTCTTTTAAGAAGTATATTACATTATGCTCCTGGAAAGAGGATGGGAACTAAAATTTACTGACTGCCAATAATGTATTAGGCATGCTAGTACGTATTTTACATGTGATCTCATTTAATTCTCAAAACAACCATATAAATTAGAGATATAACACCTATTTAACAGTTGAAGAATTGAGGCCCAGAAGGTGAGTGATTCAGTTACTAAGAAATAGCGCTAGACCCTCCCAACTAGAACTACCCATTACCAAAAATTTTCCAGGCTACTTTGGCTAAGACATTCATATGAGGTTCATTAATATACTTCTTATGACAGTTCATTATATTGGTATGAGTTTAAATATCTCTTTCATAAAGTGACAGATATAACTATAAACAAAAAATTTTATAAATTATATGAAAACCTATCAACACACATTTCAATAAAGAATAACTAGAAAATTCATAATTTTTCCAGCATTAGCATCACTCAAAATTCAAATAGCAAGGCTATTAGACTAAGGGTAAGGAGTTACAAGGCTCTATCGCTTTTCAATGTATAAGTATAACTAAGTACTGTGTAGTGCAGGGTCAGTATTTGTAAGTAAGTAGCCTGAAAGCTATTAATATTCAGAAATATGTTTAGTAACCACATCACTTGCCCCAAATTTGGAAGAACTACATAAGCATCTACATGAAGCAATCTCATATCCAAGAACCACTGCTTTGGCATACAGAACCTTTATTTCTACGCGCTCTCTCTCTCTCTTTCTCTCTCTCTAAGACAAGGCCTCACTCTGTTGCTCAGGCTGGAGTGCAGTGGCACAATCACGGTTCACTGCAACTTCAACATCGCAGGCTCAGGTGATCCTCCCACCTCAGCCTCCTGAGTAGCTGGGACTACAGGCACAAGCCACCATGCCAGGGGAATTTTTGCATTTTTTGTAGAGATGGGGTTTCGCCCCTTTGCCCAGGCTGTATTTCTCTCAAAGTCAAGTCCTATACCACATTTGTTGCTGTTCTTCTTAAGATACTTTGTAAGTAACAGGAAGACAAGAAAAGAACAAAAAAAAAGTCACCCTCCATAGCATAACATTTTTATCTTTAAATAATTTTTTAAAGTTTACATGAAGAAAAACCCTGCATAATCCATCACTTCCTCTTTTTAAACCAAAACTCTCAGGAAAATACTGAGAGTAAATAACTGATTTTAACTAACATAAAAGAAAAATATATATACTGTACTTTGCAACCTGGATAAATTAAAGCGTTAGCAAAAGGTATGTGCTTTTTATCCACTGGGGAAAACAAGGCTTATTATGTTACACTTCCAGGTTTTTAAGACAGTTGGAAGCCGGTTCTCTGAATAGTTGCTGTCATCTCCTAGATACTTTCTAGTACTTTCAATTTTGAAGCAATTATTTACATTCTAAAGTGATTTATTTTCCTCTCTTTCTTTGCTACATTTCATTTCTTCTGGTTCTCAATGACCATCTCTACTTTGGCTTAATTATATTCATTTACAAATATTTTCTGAGTACCTGCTACCGTGTGGAAAGAACTGGTTGAGGTGCCTTAAGAAATACTCATATGAAGAAAACACAAGTCTCTAATCTCAAGGCACTTAAAATCTAATAAATGGGATAAAATAAGCAAACAAAAAATTATATGACATAAAATCCACACCATAAGAAAAGTAAAAACCCAGAGTGATAGAAAGGCAAAGAGTAATCACATTTGTTTTAAAGGGACCAAGAAGCTTTAAAGAGCAAGAGATTTTTGAGAAATACCCTTAAGAAGAGGCCAATTTTCAATTGATACACAAAGAAGACGATGACATTTTAGGCTTTTAGGAGATCTTAAGTAAAAGTATAGAGGTCTGAAAATTGGAAGCAGTCTCATTTAGCCGGTCCAATAGAAAATGAGATATGAAAGATAAGTTAGAGCCATAACATAAAAAATCAGGAATGAAAAACTAATAAGCTTATATTTCACTCATTTACTCACTTGTTCATTTAATCAAAAACACATACTGAATACCAACAATGAGTAAAGACAGGAGATTCGGTCATTTGGTGATAGAAAGTCATTATTCTCAAGGTCCTCAAAATCCAATAAGAGAAACAGATATATGAAGAGATAATTACAATATATGCAAAAGGTACCTTAGGGACACAGTTGAAGGGCATTATCCAAAGTAATAGAAGCCTTCTTAGAAGTGAGTAATCCACAAATTGAGTCAAAGAGTTAACAGATGTTAACCAGAATAAGAAAAGGAAAATCATTCTTTCTGAGGGAACAGCATTAGCAAAGCCAAACAAGTAAGAAACAATTGGGTATAAGCTAAAGTTAAATGTTTCCAGAATTTTTGGAGCGGCATAAAGCAAGAAGTGCCCAAACAAGAGGCTATAGAGGGCAGGGGCCAGATCATGAAGAATCATTTTAGGAGTCTGGCTCCTGGTTTAAAACCTATGTGTGATTTTTTTCAGGCCTTACCATGGGTAGTTACAAAACCTTTACCTGGCAGGCCTCACAGAGAAAAGCTGTACTCCCCACATCAGACTTGATGTACAGCGAATGCTTTGCATCTCTGGCGGGAGTTGCAGCTAAGGTCTTAGGCCTCTCTGGCCAGTTATGCTCTTTGCACATTTACATTCCTAGCCCTGATGAATTGATTCTTGGGTCTGTATCTGAAACCTTGGCCTAAGATCCTCTCCAGGCATCTCTTCCTAGAACTCCTTACTTGGAGAGGAAGGGAAAACTCTGAAGACAGTATTCCCTACTCTGATTCAGCCTGTTCCAAGACCACCCCGCTAGCCCTTCCTCTGACCTCGTGTCCATAAAACTACCAGAGTCTTTAGTTTCAAGTTTCTTCAACAATAAGATGACTCTCACATCTGCGCAGATCCACACTAACCCTTGAAAAGCATGCCATTCTATGGCGGGAAATGGAATGGGGAGTCAACCCCTTCCTTCGGATTTAGACTCTTGCTAATACCATCATAGTTAATGATTAAAGGCTTACCCTTTCATTTTTGGCTTGTTACTTTAATTGGCTACTCCTACACCTGACAGTTCAACTCTCCCAGCTCAGCTTAGGCCATGGCCATGTCATGTTAAGGAGCTTGGGTTTTACCCTATAGCAATGGGGAGATATTGAAGAGTTTTAAGTAGGTATTATAACTGCAGATAAATAGAAAATTAGACTATAGGGAAGAAATATCTTAAATATCACTTTCACAAGAAAGTGGAAAAAAAAGTAAGAAAGTTATTGGAATAAACAACATGTAATGAGAGCCTTCAATACTAATTTTTAAATTTCTATTTTTCAGATTTATCCTATCAAGGTTTTATTGAAACTTGCCTAAAATTGTCTATGATACAAGGTAGGCAATAAATATAAATGAATAAGGGTATGAAAGAAAAGCTCAAGCATACAGCCATTTTGTTCACAACAAAATAGTTTCCAAACCATGTGATGTACAAAGTTAATTAAATGTTACATGGAAAAAGTAGACCTATAATTGAAGTAGAGATCAAAGTCCTAAAGCTAAGTGTAGAGATGAAAAAAGAACATAGGAAAGGTCCAATAGGTGATATATCACCTCAGCCCAGAAAGGACATACATGTAATCTACTCACATTCCACTCATCTCCCTAAGTCATGTAACACTGCAAAAGCAATGTGTTCCCTGGCTGGGTAGCCATTTCCCAGCAAAACTTTAAACTATACAAAGAGGCATGAAACTATGGTTATCAGCTGGCCATATCTGTGACAGATGACAATAAGTACCAAAGACAAAACAGAAAAAAGGGACAGAAAATACAAGGGAGGTAATAGGGAACATGTTAACATCTCAAGTAAGATGCTTAGAAATAATTTTCTGAAAGCAACCTTTGAGCAAAGACTTGAAGGAGGTGAAGGTGTCAGTTATGCAGATATCTTAAAGCAAAAGGATTTCCGGCAGGGAAAACAGTAATGCAAAGGCCCTGAGGCAGACACACTTGGTGAAATGATGGAATGTAGGAGGCCATTTTGGATACATAAAGAATAACAGAGTTAAGTAGAAATCAAATAGTTTCTAAGAGGGCCAAATCATTTAAGTCTTCATAGGTTATAACAAGAATTTGACTTTTATTCTCTGTGGAATGAGACATTAGAAGATTATAAGCAAAGAATTGATGAGACCTGACATGTTTTAACGTGATCACTCCAGCTCCTGCAAGAGCCTGGCTGTGAGTGGAAAGAGTGTCCAGTTTATAGGCTTTTGCAATAATCCAGGAGAGAGAGACGATGTCTGGGAACAAATAGCAGCAGTGGAAGTAGTAAAAAGTCATTGAATTATGGATATATATTGAAGGTTGAGTCAAAAGAATATGCTAACAGATCATATATGGGATGTGAGAGAAGAGGAGGCACTGATATTACAAGTACTTTGATCTGAGAAAATAAAAGAACTGACCCTGAGAAAAAAGAGAATGTGAGAGGAATAGGTTTTAATAAAGAAAGTCTAAAATTTGGTTTTAAACATGTTTTATTCAGGGTGCCTATTAGAAATCTGGGGCAGAAAAGGGCTAACTATTTGCCAAATCCCTTTTCATCTTCTTCTTAGGCACACAACTAGACCATATTTCCCAATCTCCTTTGCAATTAAGTATGGCAATATGACTGAGTTGTAGCCAGTGACATGCAAGCAGAAGTGATTGAGGCACACTTCCAAACCCGGCCAATAAAACTTTCCACATACAACTGGCCATGCTCTACCACCTTCCACTGTTTTGATGCAGATGAATGGGGCACTCTTGGAAGCCAAGAACTAAGGATAATGGAGCTATAAGATGAAGGAAATTATCCACCAGAAACATGTTATAAAATTTATATGAAACAGAAATTATGTTCTATTATGATCGGACACTGACTGAGATTTGGAATCTATCCACTAAAGCAGTTACCACTGCCCAAACTAACACAGATATCCAAGCTGAGATATTCAGTAAACAACTGAATATAAGAGTGTGGAGTTCAAAGGAAAGAACCTGACAGGATATATAATTCGAGAGACATTGATGACTAGTGTTTACATAATACAGGTGTGGACTGGCTCAGACTTTCAAGCAAGTGACCAAAGCTGGAGAAGAAAATGGAAAAGTAAAAGTACAAAGAGTAAGGCCTGTACCAGCTCAACAATAAAGAGATTGAAAAGACGAGGAAGAACCAGCAAGGAATTTTGAAGAGAGGCCAGTAGTAAGAGGAACACCTGTTTACTCATCTCATATTGGCAGTAAGAAGAAAACAAGAAAAATACAGTGTCCCAGAAACCAAATGAAAAAAATGTGTCAAGGAGAAGGTAGTAATCAACCATATCAAAGGGTATCAAAAAGTCAAGTAAGAAGAAAACTGAGACTTGACTATTGGATTTATTTATTTATTTATTTAAAGACTAGTCAATGACTATTGGATTTAACAATATTGATGTCTCTGGTGACCTTGAAAAGAACAGCTTCAGTATATGGTGGGAAAAGAGCTTGAGTGAAGCAAGTTCAAGAGAGAATAGGAGAAGAGAAACTCAGCAAGTAGAAATAAATCTTTCAGTTATTCAACTGTAGTACAGAAGTCACTTAAATTATATACTGGATTTAGTACATTATAAACATTTGGGGGGGAAAGCATGAATGCAAATAATCCACCAAATGGTACTTTACAAATGCCATAGAATTTTACAACATAAAGAGATTCTAGTAGACCCTGACACATCGTAAGAATACACTAGATATAGAGAAATATAATTTGAAAAGATAAAAAGTCAAAATCACAAAGCCTGCAAACTTCTAAGGGCTTATTCATGTTCAGTTCATTAACCTGCAAAGGCAAGTTTAGTACATTTTGTCAGCAAGCTTGTCAACTAGGGTTTATACTTCAAATACTGACACTCAAGTATCAATATTCAACTTTGAGGAGAATCAAAAAGTTAAGAGAAAGATTAAGAAAAAATGGTTCCTGAAAAAAAATTCATTGATGGGAGCTGAAATAGCTCTAACAAGCAGCAATACTATCTATGTTAATTTCAAGAACTAAAATATGAACTATCTCAAAAAACCTCATAAAGAAACAAATATGATTTAACGATAAAACACTTAATCTAGACATTTAAAATGAATAATCTGGACATTTAATCTAGACATTTAAAATCTAGACTTTTAAAATGAATAACAAGTAGCGCTGGCTGGACACTGGCCTCACGCCTGTAATCCCAGCACTTTGGGAGGCCAAGGTGGGCAGATCACCTGAGGTCAGGAGTTTGGGACCAGGCTGGCCAACATGGTGAAACCCTGTCTCTACTAAAAATTCAAAAATTAGCTGGGCATGGTGGCAGGCGCCTGTAATCCCAGCTACTCCAGAGGCTGAGGCAGGAGAATCGCTTGAACCCGAGAGGCGGAGGTTGCAGTGAGCAGAGATTGCACCATTGTACTCCAGCCTGGGCAACAAGAATGAGACTTCGTCTCAAAAAAAAAAAATGGCTCTATCAATTCAAACAACTTAATGTCTATGTGAGAGCTTTCCTATATTCCGCCTGAGGTACACAGAAGCCATATAGGCTACGCATCAATTTTCTTTTACCAGTTCATTGCTATAGCCACTAAACCTCGTCTATTAATCACAAAGACACATTAAAATGCACTGTTCGGCTAAGCACAGTGGCTCATGACTGAAATCCCAGCACTTTGGGAGGCCAAGGTGGGCCAGACTGCTTGAGCCCAGGAGTTCAACACCAACCTGGGCAACATGGTGAAACCCCATCTCTACAAAAAATACAAAAAGCTGAGTGAGATGGTGCGAGCCTGTAGTCCCAGCCACTCAGGAGGCTGAGGTGGGAGGATCGATTGAGCCTGGGGAGGTTGAGGCTGCAGTGAGGCATGATCATCCTACTGCACATCCAGCCTGGGTGACAGAGCAGAGCAAGATCCTGTCTCAAACAAAAAAAAAAGAACTCTTAGATTCTGATAGTTTCTCTTCTTGCCTTTATAATCACACAGTATAATCAGCTTCTGCAAATTACTATTGTTGAAAGTTTACTTTTCATTATTCTGCTTCATTCATTTAGTTATATGTGCTCGGCTAGGGATATAGCATGGGGAAAACAAATGAAGACCCTGCTCTCATATCACTTATACTCTTGTCTATCTGAAAGACTCTCTGTCCCAAAAAGGATCTTGCATGGAAAAAAAGTCATCTTTTAGTAAATGAGGATTATGCAGGCTAACAAAAGCATAAATGAAATGTAAAAATATTCCAAAGGGTTCATGAGATTCCCTCAACTTTGTTTATATTAGGAAACAGAAAAATTAAGTTATTTGAGTTGTAGCTCTTCTCTTTCAACTCCTAATCTTTGGAAACCTGGAATAGTTTTTTATTTTTTAAAGTTAAAAAAGTATAAAGCCCTAAGTTTAGAAATAATTTATATAAAAAATTAGTTGCACCCTCTCAAGAACAAGCCAATATTTTCAGTGCTAATCTCTTCAAACAGCAATAAACTATATTATGTCCTAGTCAGTTCATTAGTTTTACTGCAAATATATGACAAGTAAGCTTTCTGGTCTGCTATAGCATTTTCTTTAGCTACAGAAGTGTTAAAAATGCTGTTTATTTTAATTATGTAGTAAATTCACAATAAACATTATGTATACATATATTATGTATATGTGTGTATGTATATATATATATATATATATATACACACATACACACACATATATATATCCTAATTCAGCAGTTTTAATCAAAAGACAAATATGCACTTAAGTCTACTAAAAGAAATAATCATGTTAGAGAGAGAGAACACCAAGAATAACCTCTACATTTTAATTTGCTGGAGAAATAAATGCAGCCATACCTGGAAAAAATGCATTAAATTTTAAAAGCAAAGTCATTATTTCTAAGTTTTATAAGTTTATTATCAATGCAAGTTTAAAAAGAAAATAAAATCACAGAGAGGTACATGTTTAAATACCTTATGGTTTCATTTTACACTTCTCATATCAGGATGAAGTCTTAAAAGTAATTCAAAAGGAAAATGAAAGTATTTGCCCAGACGATAGAGTCCATATGTTCTTCAATCTGGAAATCCATTGGGAAAAAGGCTTGAGTTTTTAAAAACTGAATTTTGACAATTGGAAGCTGATGTGGCTTTTTTTCCCTCTCCAGGAAGATTTGAGTCATTCTCAGAGGGAATGAAATAGACCTTTATCAAGTATTGCAAAGCTTAACACCTGTTTAACTCCAAATTACTTAGAAAACATTTAGTTAGTCTTCAGAATCTCAAAATAAGGGTTGTTATAAACACTTTTCCTAACAGTAAGATGTTTTTTAAGTTTAGCAAGAAGGCGTATCTACATATTCAAGTCTGTTTATATTTCATATTCTACAGATATCAACCATCTTGTAACAGTCTATTTGTTATTACTATACAGATTCCTATATAATTTTGTTATTCCTAAGATTATAAGTAGGCTGTAATTAAATAACTAGTTGAACATCCATCATACCATTAGGCTCCACAACTGAGGGCAGTCTGGTTCTTCCCCACTGTTTGTATGAATCCCAAGCTTCTAGCACAAGAAGAAGCAACTAGTATGCACTTAAATAAAGCCCATCAAAATGATAAATATGTACCCTACTCTGATCATTCTTTCATAGATCTAAAATGAAGCTAACATATTCAAAGTTAAAATGAGTTTGCTCTCAAAATCAAGGTAGAAAATAGACTGGAGTTCTTACAGGAGCCTCAGTTTTACACAACATAGCACAAATTGGATAACTTGTGCTCCACTACTAATGTATAAAATTCCTAAATGAATGTAATTTAACTACAAAAAATTTATTGTATTCCTATTATGTAAAAAGAAATTTGCTAAACTATACTGACATATTAAATACCTAGATTAAAAACGTTAATGTTTCGTTAATGGATCAAAAATTACATCAGAGTTAAAGTAACTACAATAGTGTATTTTTAAAAAAAACATTTCTCAAAACATATACAAATGGCCAACAAACATATGAAAAAATGCTCAACATCACTAATCATCACAGAAATGCAAATTAAAACCACAATGAGATACCACCCTACTCCTGCAAGAATGGCCATTATTAAAAAGTCAAAAAACAGTAGATGTTGGCATGGATGTGGTGAAAAGGGAATGCATATACTCTGCTGGTGGGAATGTAAATTAATACAACCTCTATGGAAAACTGTTTGGAAATTTCTTAAAGAATTAAAAGTAGGTCTACCATTCAATCAAGCAATCACACTACTGGGTATCTATCTGAAGGGAAATCAGTCATTACATCAAAAAGACATCTGCAAGCATATGTTTATTGCAGCACAATTCACAGCTGCAAAGATACGGAATCAACCTAAGTGCCCATCGAACAATGAATGGATAAAGAAAATGTGGTATGTATACACCATGGAATACTACTCAGCCATAAAAAAGAATGAAATAATGTCTTTTGCAACAACTTGGATGGAGGTGTAGGCCATTATTCTAAGAGAAGTAACTGAGGAATGGAAAACCAAATACCACATATTCTCACTTATAAGTGGGAGCTAAGCTACGAGTACACAAGGGCACACAGAGTGATATAATGGACTATGGGGACTCAGAAGGGGTAGGACCAGTGGAGAGGCAAGGAATAACAACCTCCATATTGGGTACAATGTACACTACTTGGGTGACTAGTGCACTAAAATCTCAGACTTCACCTCTATACAATTCATCCATGTAACCACTTGTACTCCAAAAGTTGTTGAAATGAAAAAAAAACTTAGAGCCACATATTAGTTTTGAAATTTTTTTGGAGAAATTTAATTGTACTCTGCTGTTTGATAAAAAGTGCTCACCAGCAATCTTATGTTCTGGCTCCTTTGCCTCCAACTTCTTTCCCTTCTTCGGAAAAAAAAAAATGCAATAAAATAAAGGATAAAGAGTGCAAAAGATTTTTTAATAAGAACTCTCAGTAAAAGCAATTGCATGAAAATGGAAATTACTGGCAGTAAGTGGTCTCCAAACATCTGCTTTGAAAGATATTTTTTATAATGATTCAAATGCTCTTTTTATACATGATCTCCCTTATCATTTAAGCTAATTTTTTTAACTTTTAGGAGTTGTATTTTTAAAAACTGTGGGCTTCCTATTTTTCTTTATTCCTCAACAAATGTTTGTATATTGTAAGTTGTGCTCTCATACATACTTGTTAAAAAGCTTAATTATGTCACTACATAATAGTACTATAAAAGCAACACAGTGTGAAAAACAGCACTAGAGTACTAGTTAGAGCACTAGTTAGAACAGCACTAGTTCTGATTTTATAATTAAATACCTGTTGGATCTTTAGCAAACTCATATAACCTACTTGGGTCTCAGTCTCCTTTTCAATAAAATAAATGAGCTGAATTAAATAATCTTTACCTCCCTAACACCTTAAAAGTGCTACCATTTTGATATACTACTTAAAAAATATATTTCATTTTTAGTTATACTCCATACACTTGCCTGTATGTTCAAAATCATTACTTCCAGTTCCTCAGAAATCTCAAAAAATACTGCTGAAGGAAATGGAATTAATTTTTACTTTCCTATTATGTATTTCTCTTGGGAGTAAGGAGGACAGAATGCAATAAAATACAACTATTTGTGCAGTTGTGCGATGTCTTAGCTTGTACTGAGGGCAATGCTGTATGCACCCTTTTGATCAATGTAAAGAAGGTCTAGCATAGATAAACTTCCCTACATGGAAACCAAAACAGTTGGGTTGACTTTTTCTTTCTCCTTGCCACCTAAAACTGTGGGACATACTAGAGATGAAGAAGTAAGGGTAAATTAAACTTTTGTAAGCATACAGGAAAGCAAGCAGCAGCATGTTTATTTTTCTTTACCCTGTTGAATGTCATGGGCTAGAAAGACACTGAAGTTGTGAAGGAAGGGAGGCAACATGTTTAAAAACTCAATACCAAGTTTTATAATGCAATGGCCTGTTTAGAATATTTAAAGATATGGACATGAGATGTACTGAGCACATGAAAATAAGTAGACCATCAAAAGAGCAGAAATTATGAGGAATTTCTAAAAGACAGATCATGTGTAACTCCAGCACTTTGGGAGGCTGAGGCAGAAGGATCACTTGAGCCTAGAAGGTCAAGACCAGTCTAGGCAATATATCAAGATCCCATCTCTACAAAAGTTATAAAAAGTAGCCACAATGGTGGCACATTCTTGTAGTCCCAGTTACTTGAGAGGCTAAAGCAGGAGGATCATTGTGCCCAAGAGTTTCATGCTGCAGTGAGCTACAATTGTGCCACTGCACACCAGCCTGAGCAACAGAGGAAGACCCTGTCTATAAAAAAGAAAAGAAATCTAGTAGGATCAACTGGAAGGTAAAATCCCAGACACATGGAAGATAAGTACTCTTCCGGGGGAAAATGCGGGAGCTTCAGCCTAAAGGCAACAGATGGAAACGGTGGGTGAAGACAACAGTCACCTAAATCAATCTTTTTTTTTTTTTTTTTTTTTTTTTTTTGAGACGGAGTCTTGCTCTTTCACCAGGCCGGAGTGCAGTGGCACTATCTCGGCTCACTGCAAGCTCCGCCTCCTGGGTTCAGGCCATTCTCCTGCCTCAGCCTCCTGAGTAGCTGGGACTACAGGCGCCCGCCACCGCGCCCAGCTAATTTGTTGTATTTTTAGTAGAGATGGGGTTTCACCGTGTTAGCCAGGATGGTCTCGATCTCCTGACCTCGTGATCCACCCGCCTCGGCCTCCCAAAGTGTTGGGATTACAGGCGTGAGCCACCGCGCCCGGCCAACAATCTTAAGGCTGATTTCCTCTCTCCCCTTCCCTTACTTCTGCTGGGCTGCAAGCAAGATTGCCCACCCTTGGCTAAAGGCATATGTACTCTTGGATTAGAAGAAGGGCAGATTCCTAGCTAGCTACTGATGACCAAAAAGAATAGGAAGCACTGCTGGTAGAAGACCATTACTGACAAATCTTTCCTGGCGGTACATTCAAACCTTGCCCCACAAGGGCATTCTGACAGTATTTAACAAAATTTGTATTGCAAATAACTCCTTTTGACTTAGTGACTTCACTTCTAGGTATGTATCCTAATAGAAATGCTCACACATATTCATTCAGAAAGATGAATCTGACAAGATTGCAGCACCTCTAAATAAAGAAAAATTAGAAGCCAGCTAAATGTCCACCAGTAGAAAAGCTAAAATAAACTATATATTTTCATACTATTAAATAGTATATGCCTGTTAAAAAATAATGAGGTAGATATACATAAAATAGCATTGAATATAAGAAAAAAGTTAGTAGCTAATATACTATACACAGCATAGCCACATTTATATTTTTAAAATAGTGTGTTTATAAATGCAAAAGAGGAAACCAGAAGACTATACATCAAACTATTTACCTCCTCACCACTAGGAGACTTTCTGGGTAGGGATAAGTACTAAAGAGAATTTTCACATAATAATTGAATATTTTACAATGAGAATGCATTTCTATATACCCCTTATACTTGAAAAAGAAAAAAAAATCTTGCCAATTTGAATCGTGAACTGAGAAGAATGTTCCCCACCTAGATAAGAAAATTTTATACAATTTATCTAACAAAAATTTTAAAATAATATCCACAGCACTCTATTTTTTATTTTATGTTATTATTATTATACTTTAAGTTTTAGGGTACATGTGCACAATGTGCAGGTTAGTTACATATGTATACATGTGCCATGCTGGTGTGCCACAGCACTCTATTAACTTTAGTATGTTATAGATAACTGAACTACCCTCTACCACAACATACACATACCAAAAAGGTACAAACTATATGAACAGATTACATTATTGTTTTCATTTCGTAAACATATTCAAGTAAAATGTTTTTAAAATCTATTTCTTTTTAAAATTTAAATGTCATTCATGCAAATACTTGTTTTGTGACAACTATGAACTAACTGCATTCTCATGGTTTCCTAGCACAATAACAAGAAATATACATGTTTGAAACCCTGACTGTTGCTCAAACAATTTGAATTCAGAATATGAAAATGCAGTCATTCACTGCCTTTCCTCTGTATAACAATGCCAAACCCTACCTCCCTATCAAAAAAAAAAAAAAAATTGAAACCCAGGCTGGGCAATGGAGTGAGAGACTCTGTCTCAAAATAAAAATAAAAATAAAAATAAAATCCCCACAAACACAAACACTATTCCCTTTTCACTCATACAAGGGCTTATGTGTTTCCCTTCTCTAAGTTCTGCTTTCTCCTGTCAGAATTCTATTCTCTCCCTTGTCACTATATGAACAGGAAAAACATATCAAACCTAAAGTTATCCAAAGAGAAGAAAAATTTCTACCATAATCTTGAACAACAAATGTGTTTAAATATTGTTTAGTAGAATTTTATACTAATGTTTATACATGTTTATAAACTACACATATTTATACAACTAATGCGTATATAAAAATAAATTTTAATTAAAACTAGATAAAGGAATTAAAAATGTCAGATCCACAAAAAAAGCATGTGATGTAAAGCATATCTTTACTCAATTTTGCCACTCCACATTGTATATATATTTCAAAACATTATATTGTACATAAATATGTACAACTTTTGTCAATTAAAAGTAATTAAGGTTTTTAAAATGTCAAACACATTTTTTAACTTACAAGTTTTTAGATAACAAAGAATACAATAATAATTCAAACAGATGATCCTGAAGTGATTTTCAGAAAGAAACACTCATTTTATATTGGATTGTTTGGCTTTTTCTATCTATTTATAAGAGCTCTTTGTAGTCAAGGAAAATAACTAGAAAATAGGTTTTTGGAAGACACAAATTGAAAAATGTATGTTAATACTTTAGAACAATTACCAGGAGTAGGAAATAGTGGGTGAGAAGTGCTATTACTTTAGAACAATTACCAGGAGTAGGAAATAGTGGGTGAGAAGTGCTATGTCAAGTATGGAATGTGTCGAAATCTCCAGAAGAGGTTTTCTAACTATAAAGGCCACTTGATCCCCCACAATCACCTTTTGAAATCTACTACAAGCAAATTTACCAAGAGATATACATCATACAAGTGACCAGAGTGGAGGCAGTGTGGATGCCAACTACTGCTTTTAGACTACAGGTGACTGATAAAATAAAGCCGTATCTTCAAAGCTTTTTCAAGGAGCAGGCAGAATTATATTTTATCTCAAATGAGCAAAAAGTAACATTTTTAGAATAGCAGAAAATCTCCAAGTTATCTAAAATTATTTGTAAAATATTATATGCAGCTATGCTCAATATCTTAATCTAACTTGAAAACCTGCTCCACTGTTCACAAACAATCTTGGGTTTCACAGAAAGAGATATTATAATTTAACACAGTGCCTCTCAATCTTGCATGAGCATTAGATTTACCTGGGAAGCTTTATAAAAATATTCATGCCCAATCAGCATCTCTTGTGGTGGAATCCTGGTACCGAGATTATATATATATATATATATAATTATTATTATTTTTTTTTTGAGACAGTTTCGCTCTTTGTTGCCCAGGCTGGAGTGCAGTGGCGCAAGCTCAGCTCACTGCAACCTCCACCTCCCGGGTTAGAGTGATTCTCCTGTCTCAGCCTGCCGAGTAGCTGGGATTACAGGCACCCACCACCACACCCGGCTAATTTTTGTATTTTTAGTAGAGACAGGGTTTCGCCATGTTGGCCAGGCTGGTCTTGAACTCCTGACCTCAGCCCCCCAAAGTGCTGAGATTACAGGTGTGAGCCACAGTCCTTGGCCGGATATATTTTTTTTTTTTGGAAGCTTTCCATGGGATTCTAATGTCTAGCCAGGATGAAAAAACAATTGGATTAATCAAACGAACTGGCCTGGATGCTATATATTCGTCTTTGATTTTTCTATGCTACTGAGCAGCTGTGGAAACTTGGGTATTTAACACAATATTCTGCATCTTAATTCTCTCACTCTGTAGTATGAACTGACCTGGCTTAACATGATGCCCAGGGATCCTTTTGGCTTTAAAGTTGTTTGATTAGACCCTTCAAAACTGGCACCTACATTTAACATCTAAAAAGTGCTTCAAATAAAAGTTAAACCTCATAACATATATACTAAAATTTTACAGTTAAGGTTTTCCACATTTGCAAATCCCATGTGCAGAACTGTATTTATCAAAATAAGTTTTAATAGCTTGTTATTAAGATGTTGTTACTATGTGTTTATCAATACAACATTAATTCCTATGAAATCCTATCCTTCACTGAAAAATATGAAGTCATCTTCATACTCTAGGGGTACATTTTCAGTATCACATACCATTAAGAGTTATTCTTTGTGGTAACATATATCAAGAAAAAAACAAAAAAGAAGAGACTGTAGTTTTTATGTAAAGGGTTTTCATCAAAACCAATAACTAATTTATAGAAAAAAATGGCACTAGACTTTAGAAATTAAATACATATGTAAAGAAGTATTCATTTAAAAAGCCATTTTTAACAAATTAAGATTTCACTGCCACATATTAGATAAGATTTAAATTGCTTCTGTTTAAACACTTGGAAATGGGATTACCATTAGAAGAGCAAGAAAACCTTAATTCCGTATCAAAAACTTTAATTAAAGCTATATAACTTGTGATTAATTACTTATATTTGATTCAAATTGAAAGACAATACATTCTTTTTTAAAAGATAATATTCTTTTTTTAAAACAGTAACTCACTTCTTCTAAAATCATACATACATCAAGATGGCAACACTTATGTTAATGTAAAATAATCACCTTTCATTTATCAGAACATATTGGCAAGGGCAAATTTTTCAGTCATATAGTTTTGTAAAACAAAATGTAAGTTTATGCTCAACATCTCATATTAGCCTTAGGAAAACAAATCTGAAAAAAAACTAAAGCACATTTTAAAGCTACATACAAGTCATTTTGGGCTGCTCAGTATTCCTGGTCCTATTTCAACAAAACACAAAATGAGAGCCTGACTGTGTGCTGAAAATTAATAAGTATGCAAATAATAAAACTTCAATATAATATTCTAAGGTACTCCTGACTGTGTGCTGAAAATTAATAAGTATGCAAATAACAAAACTTCAATATAATATTCTAAGGTACTTTGACAAAAAAATTCTACAATAAATGACATATAACAAGGCTTAACTTAGTTCTATTTTTATGGTATAAATGTTAAATCATTATTAGTATAAACACAAGGGTAGTTAATCTTGAAAATATTTTCTATAGAACATCACTTGAATTTTGAATTATTTTCAAACATGACTTTAAAATTAAGGTCAAAATTAGCAATCTAAAATACTGTAATTAAAAGAAAGCAAATTCCCAAAACTAAATAGAAAGTATATTCAGCCCTCATAAGACATATGAAATATTTACATAATAATATGTAAGATATATTTCTTGTTGCAACAAATTATGCAAGGTTGGAATTAGTCTTGATGCAAAATGATATTACCAATTCTTTTCAAATATTACAGTTCTTACATTCCTTTTACATTTCCAAATCATAAGACTACTTAATAGATGTAAAAATATAAAGTACTGGAATGTCTTTTTTGCCCTAATATTTAGGAAGAAAAGAGAATTCTAAGGAATAAAACATTCAGTTAAAAATATGTTTCCCCTTCTACTTTGACCCTCTTTGAAGTCAACTTTTCAAGGTCCATTATCAGATGGAATGCAGTAGTAAAGATTTTATGACACTATACTAAATTTTTATTATTTCATTGAGAAAAATTGTAATAATAAAAAGGATTAAGATCTATTTCCTTTTTCGCCATGTTAAGCTTTTAAGCTTTTTTTGCTTTCATCAATTCCAATATACCATAAATCAAAAGTATTCTTCTTTTAATCCCAACAGTTGACAAAATAATGCATTTTACACTTGAATATGCTCAAGGAAAAAAATTAACATTCTTTATCATTTCCCAACAGAGACAGTTAATACTCTAAGGCCACATTAATAGAATCTTTCTGCCATTGTAGAAAGTTTGATAGCACTCCTATTTCAATGTCTGAATTTTTCTCCTTTTTTTGACAAAGACAAATGATTGCCATCAATCAAGATCCAATCGGGTATAGAGAGAGTCAGGCAAATGCATCACTCTTTACTGGTTTTCTTGTTATTTGAGCAGGCTTTGCTCCATATTATTTTATAGAATGATCAAAAAACAGCCATAAGATAGATCATTCACACCCACTGTAAAATTAACTTTCACGAATAATGAGTTTTAAACCTCAGATAATGTATATGTTATACCAACGATATTACTGAGTTCATTCCTGGCTAGAGATTATGTAAATGATACCATATGACCTTTATCATTACAACAGGACATGCAAAACACATATTATTTCATACATCATTTTAAAGCAAGTCAGTTTCTAAAGGAAAAATCATCATTTATAATCTGCATGGTGAAGTGTTAAAGTTTTGAAAGAAAGAAGTATCTCTGAACCATGAGTCCTTCTTTTAACCTGTTACTTCCATTGAACATAAGGCAATAAAACCTACTAGTTCAAAAAGATGTACTTGATTTCTGTATTTCTTTGTTGAGCTACTGTTAATGTCATTTCAAAAACTCATATCATGTTGGCTAATCAACACTAAGTTTTAAATGGATAACAAGTATTAATATACACTTCTAAGTCATTCCTCTCAAAATTTTTGCTGTTGTTTTTGAGAAAGGGTCTCTGTCACCCAAGCTTGACTGTAGTGGCTTGATGATAGCTCAGTGTAGCCTCAAACTCTTGGGCTCAAATGATCCTCCTGCCTCATCCCCCAGGCAACTGGGACTACAGCTCAATGTCACCACAGCTGTTTTGTTTTTGTTTTTGTTCTTTTGTAGAGACCAGATCTCACTATATTGCCCAGGCTGGTCTCAAACTTCTGGTCTCAAGCAATCCTCCTGCCTCAGCCTCACTACGTGCTGAGATTACAGTTGTGGTCCACTGCATCCAGCCTCAAAATGTCAATGTAATGGGTTAAGGAAGTAAAGGAAAACATTCCAATACTGTTTCTTTAGAACTATATTCTGCCAATCTTAAAATACTAAAAATGTAAGTATAAACTACAACGGCCCACCAATTATAAAATAGCTCCTTTTTTTAAAGGTATAGGCCAGGAACAGTGGCTCATGCCTGTAATCCCAGCACTCTGGGAGGCCAAAGCAGGTGGATCACTTGAGGTCAGGAGTTCGAGACCAGCCTGGCCAACATGGTGAAACCCCACCTCTACTAAAAATACAAAAATTAGCAGGGCATGGTGGCACATGCCTGTAGTCCCAGCTACTTGGGAGGCTGAGGCAGGAAGATCACTTGAACCCAGGAGGCGAAGGTTGCAGTGAGCCAAGGTCACACTACTGTACTACAGCCTGGGTGGTGACAGAGCAAGACCCTGTGTAAACAAAATAAAACAATAAAAAGGTATATAAAGAAATACATATTGCAAGCCAGGCATGGTGGCTCACGCCTGTAATCCCAGCACTTTGGGAGGCCGAGCTGCATGGATTGCCTGAAGTCAGGAGTTCCAGACCAGCCTGGCCAACATGATGAAACTCCATCTCTACTAAAAATACAAAAAATTAGCTACGCATGGTGGTGGGCACCTGTAATCCCAGCTACTTGTGAGGCTGAGGCAAGAGAATCACTTGAACCCTGGAGGCGGAGGTTGCAGTAGCCAAGGCCACGACATTGCACTCCAGCCAGGGCAACAAGAGCAAAACTCAGTATCAAAAAACAACAACAACAACAAAAACATATTGCAAACCCAGCTCCCTTCTGTTGTAATTCCACCCCCATCATGTTGACACAGTTATCCACAGAATCACCCAAGCACAAAGCCTGTATATCATCTTTGAACCCTCCCTCTCCTTAAGCTTCTTACAATGAACTTTCAATTGTTTTTTCCTAAATAATTTTCAATCCATGCCCACTACCACAGTTCTGCCATATCTCATGCCTAGTCTACTGTTATTATAACACCTATGATTTCACTATTGGCAGTGTTTTTCTTCTTCAAATCTATAATCAAAAAGAACTACCAGAATGATCTATCCTAAAAAGATGTGTTGACATCAATAGTTTACTCCACAAATTTCAATAGCACTACATCCCTTACAGCAGCGATGCCCAAAGGGGATACATAACATAATTCATCTGGATGTTGGAAGATAATTGCAGAGAAAAAAGTCAGAAATTGAGCTTTATTAATATTTAATATATAGTTTAATTCTGGCATCCTTATTCAGTCTGAATATCAGTAATCATGTCATATGTGATATGCAATTTTCTCATATTAACACATACTGTAGTTTATGTCTACTTAAACAGGTTTACAGATTACACTGTTTTAAACAAATACAGTATTTAGAATACTTTGCAATAAGATAAAAAGTGACCAGAAATTACCTAATAATGGTTGAATAGTATGATAATACTCAATTATCTTAAAAAGCCAATTATTCCAAATTTGCTAAACTTTTCTGTGGCAGTGCACTGCAACAAGCTCTGAAACAGCTATTTGAAAATAAACACATAAAATATATACCTTTAACATAAAGGTAGCATTTTAACTCTAAGGTAACTACCTTAGAAAAACATACTATGGAAAGAGATGTTTAGAAATATTTCCATCATTATGTGATTTTTGTTGCCTAAAACTATCTTAACCACCTATAAAAACTCTTAAATTTGTATTTTAATTAAAACAAATTAGAAACAGTGTCATAACCTAGTGTGTCAATGGGTTTTGTACAAACATAATGTCTGTAAAAACATTAAAATATTAATACAAATATTTGAAGAGAACCAAGAGTTTTGTAAAGTTAGATAGTCCTTAAAATATTTTCTTTGGCTTTATTTTATCCTTTAATTTCTCCTAGAAATAGTGGCAATATTCAACACTTGCTTTAAAGATTTCAGAGTTTAGACTATTCTTGATCTTTAAAAAAAAAAAAGTAAATGCAGAGAGGATAATATTATCTATCTTATAAGGTAATTTAACAAGATATATGGACTTAGTAAAGGGATCTCTAACTAGTAACATTAAGTTGCTGCTGCTACTACTACCATTCCTAACATTTTTATTAGTATGTAGTACACCAAAAAAGGGACTTGTTTCTCGGAATGAGAGTATAAAACATTAGGAGTAATTTATGAGAAAATTGGAGTGGAAGGCATCCAATTTAGGAACATGTTAAGTTATATAGGAAAAATTGATTTATCATTTTGAAGCAAACCACAAGACCCTCTGCATGAATGGCATATATGAAAATGTTTTAAGATGAGAATAAATTGTCTTAAATTTCGATATGTATTACATAATCACCTTCCAAAAATGTACCAGCAATATACTCTTCCATATGAGAATGTGTATATCCCAAATGTCATTAACACTGAGTTAATACTGGCCTTATTAATCTTTACCAAACTTACAGGTGAGGGATATGAAAGAGAGGAGACTGTTGAATATGAATCCAAGGTTTTAAGTTAGATTCCAATACTGATGCCATTAATAAAAACAGAAAACACCGGAAGGAGGAGAGACTTGCAAACAGAGATGAATTTAGTTGGGACATGTTGAGTTTGAGGGGCCAGAAGTACATCCACATGGAAAAATCAAAAAGGTTCTGAAAACAGAGATGTGGAACTAAGAAGAGAGGTAAAGATCAGAGTGTTGATTTGAGATTCCTGTATAGAAGTGATGGTTGGGCTGGGCGTGGTGGCTCAAGCCTATAATCCCAGCACTTTGGGAGGCCAAGGCGGGTAGATCATTTGAGGTCGGGAGTGTGAAACCAGCCTGGCCAACATGTTGAAACCCCTTCTCTACTAAAAATACAAAAATTAGCCAGGCATGGTGGCAGGCACCTGTAATCCCAGCTACTTGGGAGGCTGAGGCAGGAGAATTGCTTGAGCCCAGGAGGCAGAGGTTGCAGTGAGCAGAGATCATGCCATTGCACTCCAGCCTGGGAGACAGAGTGAGACTCTGTCTCAAGGAAAAAAAAAAAAAAAAGTGATGGCTGAGGTGCTAGCAGAGATTAGGATCACAAAAGAACTAATTTAGAAAAAGAAAAATACCAGCAACAGAATTTTTCTGGGACAACTCTAAATAGCAGAATTAGGCAAAAGCAAGCTCCAAGGACACAATGCTCATCTTGCTAATCCCTGTTACAGTGATGCCTGGCAAAGAGCCTTGCTCAGAGTAGGTATTCAATAAAAACTTGTTGCATGCACTATTTAATAATTAATAAGAGACAGAGTCATCAGAACAAAAGAGAACTAGAAGCAAACAAGTCAAATAAGATTTTTTTAAAAATTAGACACCATTAGGCTTGGTGCTCCCAAAAACATTATTCAACCACAATGAACTACTTTCCATCCCATGGGCTTATCCTAGCTCTCCTCCTATCTCTCTCTCATGTGTACTCTCTCATGTTGCCCCTGTCCTGTGGCATCTTCCCCACCAACCATGTTTCACCCTATCTGCCTGCTACCAATTATCATCCAACAACTAAGTCTCAGCTTAGATGTCAGCTCCTACAGGTAATTTTGATCTCAGCAATTTATACTTGCTGCATCATAGCAGTTATTCAACTACTTTATCATTGCCTGTTTATATTTTTCCCCCTCCAAGTCTATAAGCTCTGTAGTTTTTATACCTAATCATCTTAGCCACTAAGTTAGAGTTTCTTTCTAGGCCATTCCTTTTCTCACCCTATATTCTCTCATCCTATGATCTCATCCAAACTTTTGGCTATAATTACCCACATGTATGTGAACTCCAAAATTTATATACCCAGCGAAAATCTCCTTTTGAGTTCTAGAGCCATATATCTAAATGTTTACTTGCTATATAGTTTAGCAGTTAAGAACATGAAATCAAACACAGTATTTTTAAATTCTGGGTTTGCCAGTTATTAGCTATGTTATTAGCTGTGTGAACAAGACATTTAACATCTCTGTACTTCAACTGCCTTACCTATAAAATGAGAATAACAATAAAAAGAGAACCTAATTCATAAGGTTGTTGGGCAGATTATATAAAACAATATTTAAAGTGCTTACAATAGTGCTTTGCATATAAGAAATACTTCTTGAGTGCTAAATATTGTAATAATGTTAATTCAGTGAAGGCAGTGATTTTCATTTCTTTTGTTCACTGTCTAATCCCCAAATCTTTAGACAATGGCTGACACACTACTGAATAGTTGTTGAATAAATGAATGAATAAATCCATCTCAATTTCAACACAGTCAAAACCAAATTAATGACCTTCCCCACAATTAGTCCCCTTCAATGTGAAAGGCATCGTAGTTCATCCAGTTGTGCAAGTCTACACAATCTTTGTTCTACACACTGCAGTCAGGGGGTTCTCAGAGCATAACACTAATCATGTTCCCCATCCTTTCCATCATAAAATCTTTATGGCTCCTTATTCCTCTTTAGAAAAGCACCCAATATGGCCATAAGGCCTCGTGTAATCTGGCTACTATCAATATCTCCACAGTACACACATCCACTCACTATCCACGTTCCAGCTATATAACCTTTCTTCTGGTCCTTGTACTCAGGCTTCTTGTTTAAATACCTCTGCTGGTCGGATGCGGTGGCTCACACCTGTAATCCCAGCACTTTGGGAGGCCGAGGTGGGTGGATCACCTGAGGTCAGGAGTTCGAGACTAGCCTGGCCAACATAGTGAAACCCCATCTCTACTAAAAATACAAAAATTAGTTGGGCGTGGTGGCGGGTGCCTGTAATTCCAGTTACTCGGATGGCTGAGCCAGGAAAATCACCTGAAACCAGGAGGCAGAGGTTGCAGTGAACCAAGATCGCACCATTGCACTCCAGCCTGGGTGACAAGAGCAAAACTCCATCTCTGAATGGAGTTTTCCCGTCTTCATCTAGCTACCTCCTACTAACTCTTCAAATTCCAATTGAATTGTTACTTCAAAGATAACTTACCAGAGCTCTTTAACTAGATATCAATTGAAGGCATTCATCATTCAGTTTTGTCATTCTTCATAGCATTTTCACAACAGTAAATTTGTATCTGTTTTATAATATTAATAGCTGTCTCTCCTTCTGGATAATGAAATCTATGTAAACTGGGAACATGTCCACTTCTGTTTATTATGGGAGCTCTGAGGCATAGCATAGTGACTGGCACATAACAGGTGAATATTCACTGACTATTCAATCAATAAGATAAAAGCCAATTAAATTTTTTTATCTTATTCAATGAACAAGATAAAATTCAAGTAACCATAGGATTTAAGGAAGCAGTATGAATAGGGATGAAGAAGGTAACTATAAATTCAATTCATGACGTCCATTTGAACAGTAATAAGCTATCCCACACAATACTATTGTGAAGGATCTGACACTACCTGTTCATATATTTCTTCTTTGCATTCTTTTTTCAGATTCCAGAATATAGTCTCACCTGTTTTTCTCCCTCATTTTCCTTTCTGAATCTTGGCTTCTGTTCTGCAGTGGACAGGCATTTGCAAACATACCCCTAAAGGTGGAGGAAGCTAACTGACCAAACAAAGAGGCTGATAAATACAGTTTCTCAGAAAGAAACATTTAATAGGGACTTAAAACAGAAGCCGTAGTCTTAAGCAGTCATAAGACTCTAGAGGGTGGATCCCTGCACCACTGCCCCCTAGACCCAGGGCGTATATACCATAGAGAAAGAATGTGTAGGACAATTGAAGTTGACCTCTCAGGGAAAGGCAAGCATGCTATGTGAATCTGCCTAAGCGGGGGATTTATGATCAAGGTTGTTTGGACCTGGGGCAGGATTTATGGTAACAATAGATAAAAGTAGAAATCTTAGAGGCATTTCCAGAACAGAGGTTAATCAGAAGTCAACATGGCAGATTAGCATCCGAGACGGAGTTTCTTTAGCCTCCACAGCTTCTCTACTTTTCCTTTCAAATTCTGCTCCTAGATTCTACCATAAGGCTGTTTTTCTTACAAACCAGGAATATCAGCATGACTCCTGCAACTAAAACCATCACCTATGTGACAATGGTACCAAATCTCAACTCTTTACTCCAGATTTTTCTCATAAGACTGCGTTTTCAAACTGTTTAATAACATTTCCATTTTGCTTACCCAAATATATGTTAATGTGTCCCAATATTAAAAACAGTATCCTATTTCTAACTTGTTCCTTCTTCTATATTTCCATACCACTATCATTATTCTCTCCACCATTTTCCCTCTCTGCCTCTAACACATAACACCCCCAACCATCTCTCTTCTTCCTACCAGGGTTTGTCTTTCATCTCCACAGGTTTTAAGGCTTGTTGTATATGAACTTGTTAAATTCTTATGGAGAGGGCAAACCTTATTTCTTTTTTTATTTTGAAAATGTTTCAAATTTGTAGAAAAGTGGAAAATGGTAACATGATGCCCCATTGACAACAGATACTTTCTATAAACAAGGACTTTGTTCTACATAATAATAATATAACTGAAAGTCAGGAAACTAAAACTGATACATTATTACCTTCCGATTTTAAGCACCACTCAAATTTTACTAATTACCCCAGTAATCCTTATAGCAAGATGACACAGCTGAGAATCATGTCTGGCATTGAGTTATTATGTCTCTTTATTCTCTAACAATCTGGCAGAATAGTTCTATAGTCTTTCCTGAAATTTTAAGACACTGACATTTAGATGATTACAGGTCAATTATTTTGTAGAATGTCCCTCAATTTGGGTTTAACTCATATTTCTTCTACATTTCTTCTACATGATTAGACTCAGACTAGGCACTCTGGGCATATCACAGAGTGATACTATGATCTTCTTAATAGATATAGCCTAAAAGGAAGCACATGGTTTCAGTTTCTCTAATTACTAATGATGTCCATTTTGATCACTTGATGACATGGTACCTACCAAGCTTTTTTTTTTTTTTTTTTTTACGTGAATTACTCTTTCTCCCTTTGTAATTAATGAATATTTTTTGAGGAGGTACTTTGGAACTATGCAAATTTTCTGATCTTCATCAAACTTTCCATTTGTTCATTTATTTATATTAGTATGATCTTCTATTTTATTCAACGGATTATAATTTATTGCTATCTATTAGATAATATTATCTATTTTGACGTTTGACTGTTCACTGATTTGGCCAGTGGGATTCTTTTCAAGCTGATTCTTTTTCCTTCTTACATGTCTCCATCATTCTTTGAGCACTTCTTTACATTCTAGCACAAAAAGGTGCTATGAGCTCATCTTATAGTTTCCCTGCCACAGTCCTGGAAGTAGCCATTGCTCCACAGAGCCCTGGTTTCAATGGAGAAGATCAAGGCTTTAGGTGCATTCATTGCTACCAGGATGTCACTATTCCCAGGCCCCCTCAGTGGACAAAGCTAGGAAATATATCCAGCTGGGCACGATGGCTCATGCCCGTAATCCCAGTACTTTATTGCCCAGCTGGAGTGCAGTGACACAATCACGATTCACTGCAGCCTCAGCCTCCTAGGCTCAAGCGATCCTTCTGCCTCAGCCTCCCAAGTAATTGGCACCACAGACATGCACTACTACACCTGGCTAATTTTTAAATTTTGTATAAAGATGAAGTATTACTTTTGTTGCTCAGGCTGGTCTCAAACTTCTGAATTCAAGCAATCCTCCACCTCTGCCTCCCAAAATGCTGGGATTACAGGCGTGAACTATCACACCTGGCTTAAGTTTATTTTTTGATGCCAATAATATGTCTAGAAGGGACTAGACTAAAACATTAACAGTGGCTTGGAAAGGATGGTGTGATTAAAGGTAATTTTTTGTTCTTCTTTTCATCTTACGTGTATTTATATTTTCTACAGTAAAAATATATTATTCTCATAATTATATAATAAATACCTGTAGGAAGCATATGGATCTCTGACATTAGTAATGAAGTTGAATTATTCCTTCTAAAAAAAAAATCTAAGCTTTCCACATCGTGTTACAGTGGTACATTGGCAAGTATCAGTTTGCCACAAAAAACTGGGGTTTATTTTGGGATTATCTGTTCTGTTCCATTGATCTATACAGCTATCCTATACTAATAGCATGGTGTCTTAATTACTGTATCTTTAAGTTTTGGAATTAGGTAGTGTATATACTGAATTTTGTTGTGCTTTTTCAACATTGTTTCGGCTGTTGTGACAGACAGCTCCAACATAGCCCGTAAATGCTCCCTGCCTCCTAGTGTTCATGGTCTTGACAATCCCTCCTTGAGTAATTTGCTTCTAACCAATGAAATATGGCAACATCAAGGGGATGTCACTCCAAAAATTAGGTTACAAATGACTGTGATGTCCATTTTGCTAGATGACTCCTCTCTCTTGATGGCTTTGATGAAGCAAGTAAGCCACCATACTGGAGAAGTCCCTGTGGCAAAGAACTCAGGGCCTTAGTCCAAGAGCCCTCAAAGGATTAAATTCTGACAACTTCATAAGTGAACTTGAAAGTGGATACTTCCCAGTTGAGCCTTCAGATGAGAACCCAGCCTGCGGACACCTTGACTAAAGCCATATCAGAGATGGTGGGCCAGAGGAAACAGCTAAATAGTGCCTGGATTCTTGACCCATTGCACTATGAAATAATAAGTGCATGACGTGTTAAGCTGTTAAGCTTTAGAGTGATTTGTAACAAAGCAACAGATTACTAATGCAGCTCTTCTGGGACCTTTGTATTTCCATTTATCTTTTGGGTTCCGACTACCAATTTCTATTAAAAAAATTCTGAAACTTACATAGGGGATTATATTGAATCTATAGATCAGTTTGGGGCATACTAGCATCCTACATTATACTGCATAATATTCTATTTGTTTACAATTTCTTTAATTATTTTTTTTTTTTGCAACCTCTGCCTCCTGGGTTCAAGCAATTCTCCTGCCTCAGCCTCCCGAAAAGCTGGGATTACAGGCAAGCACCGCTATGCCTGGCTAATGTTATCTTTAGTAGAGACAGGTTTTCACCATGTTGGCCAGGCTGGTCTTGAACTCCTGACCTCGTGATCCACCCGCCTCAGCCTACCAAAGCGCTGGGATTACAGGCGTAAGCCACCACGCCCGGCCAACTTCTTTAATTATTATCAATTTCTCTTTAATTTCTCTCAGTAAAGCTTTATAGTTTTCAGTGTACCAACATTATACTTCCTGGTATTTTATTCTTTTTGTTGGCTTAAAGATTTCTCACCTATATTTATGAGGGACCTCATTTACTTTTAACAATAAAATGCTATTTTCAAGAACACAAAACTGGGGTTCAGAGAATACTTAAGAACACATAAGGACATGAACAGACACTTCTCAAAAGAAGACATTTATGCAGCCAAAAAACACATGAAAAAATGCTCATCATCACTGGCCATCAGAGAAATGCAAATCAAAACCACAATGAGATACCATCTCACACCAGTTAGAATGGTGATCATTAAAAAGTCAGGAAACAACAGGTGCTGGAGAGGATGTGGAGAAATAGGAACACTTTTACACTGTTGGTGGGACTGTAAACTAGTTCAACCATTGTGGAAGTCAGTGTGGCGATTCCTCAGGGATCTAGAACTAGAAATACCATTTGACCCAGCCATCCCATTACTGGGTATATACCCAAAGGACTATAAATCATGCTGCTATAAAGACACATGCACACGTATGTTTATTGCGGCATTATTCACAATAGCAAAGACTTGGAACCAACCCAAATGTCCAACAATGATAGACTGGATTAAGAAAATGTGGCACATATACACCATGGAATACTATGCAGCCATAAAAAATGATGAGTTCATGTCCTTTGTAGGGACATGGATGAAATTGGAAATCATCATTCTCAGTAAACTATCGCAAGAACAAAAAACCAAACACTGCATATTCTCACTCATAGGTGGGAATTGAACGATGAGATCACACGGACACAGGAAGGGGAATATCACACTCTGGGGACTGTGGTGGGGTAGGGGAAGGGGGGAGGGGGGAGGGATAGCATTGGGAGATAAACCTAATGCTAGATGACGAGTTAGTGGGTGCAGTGCACCAGCATGGCACATGTATACATATGTAACTAACCTGCACAATGTGCACATGTACCCTAAAACTTAAAGTATAATAAAAAAAAAAAAGAAAAAAAAAAACAAAGAAAAAAAAGAACACATAAGCAAAACGTGGGAATAATGAGATCTAAATTAATCTATCTAAAAATAATGCACTTTCTACCCCACCCGTGGTACTCAACAGATTCAGAACTGTTCCCTAGAGTGAATAATAGAAATCTGCAAGGAAAGTTTTGGTTGTCACAAATGACTGAGTGCTACAATGATTTAGTGGGCAGAAGGAGCAAAAAAAAAAAAAAAAAAAATTCTAGACATTCCACAAGAAGAATAGTTCAATAATAATAATGGTCCTAGATCCTACATTACTTTAGAATGTTCTACTGTATATCAGTGAAAGTGACAAACTAGAAGATAATCTGAGCCTATGCCCCAAATATATATATATATATATATATATATATATATATATATATATATATGTGTGTGTGTATATATATATATATGTGTGTGTGTGTGTATATATATATATATATATATATATATATATATATATATATATATATATATATTTAGATGGAGTTTCGCTCTTGCTGCCCAGGCTGGAGTGTAATGGTATGATCTCTGCTCACTGCAACCTCCCCCTCCCGGGTTCAAGCGATTCTTTTGCCTCAGCCTCCCAAGTAGCTGGGATTACAGGTGCCTGCCACCATGCCCAACTAATTTTTTGTATTTTTAGTAGAGATGGGATTTCACTATGTTAGCCAGGCTGGTCTTGAACTCCTGACCTAGGCAATCGACCCGCCTTGGCCTCCCAAAATGCTGGGAATACAGGCATGAGCCACCACGCCCGGCCCCAATTTATTTTTAATTTCAAAAAATGCAATCATTGTGTAAAGTAAGGTAAAAATGAATGTTGTCTGCTTAGTACTACACCAGTATCTATTCACCACTTAGAAAAATCACATTATAGACAATCACACATCCCTTGTAGCAGGACAAATCATACATCATACCTCTATCAGTCTGATTTGTACCTGTCACATTCACAGTGACCTATATATAAATACAAGCATCCAATTATGTCTTTTAGCATAGTTATGTTCGTACTTATGGAACAATGAAATGCATACTACATATATTTTTAAATATTTTATTTCTCTTGTTATGGTATAGAGCACTGTTGATTAATATTATTTATCTAGAAAAGGTCTATTTACTATTCAAAAATAAAACTCATAGATAAGGAATAATTGCAAACTACCTGTGATATAAAGAGCATGTTAAATTTCAGAGGGTGAAGAACTATAGCATTACATTATGCTACCTCCTAAATATATCTCCTGCTCACCATAATTTCTGGCACTGCCATAGTTAATACTCCTTTTATCTCTGGTCTAGTGTCTTTTGACAGCCTCCTATCTAGTCTCCATCACTTGAACTTCCCATCCAATATAATTTACTTATTGTCGAAATGTTACTGCTTTTCCTTTAAAAAAAATTATTATCCAGGATATAAAATAGGATCAAGATACTTAAGTTCCTACTATCCTACAGAAAAATTCCAAATTCTCCACCATGGCATTTAGGATCGCTTATGACCTGCTTTTATCTGTTTCTAGATTTGTCTACAACCACTCTCTATCACATATTATATGTCTAAACCATGCTTTCTGGACTTTCTCAAAATTTTCATATTTTCTCATGGCAATGCCTTGCATCACCTACTCCCTATTCTACCATGACTTCCCATCATCATTCCTGTCCCCATCTTTTGTCCGTCTGGAATTCACATACTGTGTGACATCCTACTCTAGACCCTCCTCAAATCTATGTCCTATTTCACAGAGATCCAAAAGCTTACATTCAGACTTTTTACCATACACATTTCGCAGTAATATAATTAATTATATGCTTAACATTCCCATGAATCCTCAATATCCTCAAAATGTAATAAGAAATTTTTATATTCCCTAACAATTTTTATCATTGGTTTTTCATATTTGTTGATTCAATGAATATTTAACTAATTTTCCACTCTCTTCATATTCTAACTTTCTTTTCTGAAATTCTAGACATTAATTACATATATCTAAATACATAATGGCATCAAATTCTAATTTACTCCACAAAAACACAGGAATCACAACTCTTCTAAATATGTCATGATGGAAATAATGTAGTCAGTCTTGACATTCATTTCTTTATTAAGCAGAATCTCAGCATCTTTCACACAGTTAAAATAGGAGAATAAATTTGCAAATAAGGTTTCATTTGCCTATTTTCTTTTTTTTCTTTGCAGCAAAAAGATTAAAAACATTTTAGCCCTTCAATGTTTAAGTTCAAGTGGAACTATCTAAACATCACATCAATCAATACCTTTATATGTTCTTCTTTATATGCACAAGGGCAAGAATTAGTTTAGGGGTATAGGAGTTGGTTACAGTCATTATGCTCTAATGTGGCAAACATTAGTGTCAATTTAAGTAAACTCTAAAGGGTTATGAGGTCAAAATGCAAGACTGCATAATTTATCAGATCAAGCAAATCACTTTGAAAGTACAGAAATAAGTGAAGCATGAGGCTATTACTGCCTCTCATGAATAAAGGTTAATACCAATGTTTATTTATTACACACTGGATGGTATTTGCTATCTAAACTTTATTTATTAAAATAAGTATTTTGCTACACTGTCATATTTTAAACTACTGAGTCAAATTTAATTTACAGCACTGTCTTATACTAATACAATTAATACAGTATTCTAAGTTTTAAACAAAAAATTGAAATTGCTTTGGACATTTTGATTAGTAAAATATGTTACCTGTAAAATATGAAATCTCACTTTTGCATCAAGACACACCAATGAGCAATTCAAAAGCACAAGAATACATTCATATGTAAATTCTGCATGTATTTCAAAGTTGTGGTTTATTATTTGTTCTTGTTGTTTGGTATTTCTACATAGTATTTTCTTATGCACAAAAAATAGAAAGTTGCGGGAGAATGGTATAACATACTAGGCCATCAAAAAAAGAAAGATAAAGATAAGCTTTTAAAATTAGTTGTTACTCTTTCTTTTATGAAAGAAAAGAATGGTATTTTGGTTTTCCATAAATTAATACTAAAATATTCATATTCCATTTTCTAAGGTAAACAGTAACATGTGAAATGATGTAATAGACATAATAGCTGTGAAGAGTACAGGAAAATATATTAATAGGAAAGAAATGTTACTTTTCCAGAACAAATCTTAAATGAAATGGTGTAATTAGATGAAGGGTTATGTGAAACATGGCAATATACACAAGCAAAATCACAATGCAGATCAATTCTGTTACTTTTACATTTTACTCTGCATATAATATATTGAAAAATATTATTTAATCTAAATTCAATAAGATATCAAGATTTCCTCAAAATCAATGTTTTGTAGTCAAATCAACTCAAATAAAACTTCACAGTTATAAGACAGATAATTAAACTGTATTGAAGTAGATGTTTTATATAGCAAATGTTGTTTATTATGGTTACAAACACACACATAAGGAGGCAAAAGAATTACTCTCAAAGAAAAAATGTTCAAATTCTAAAGCATTGGAATAGAAAAATGTAATGTTATATTCGCATCATTATTGAAATGTAGCTTTAACATGACACTTAAAAAAATTAATATTCTAGTGATTTGTGCAGGACCTGTATCTTTCATTTAACCCACATAAAAATTTTGTACATAGACTCTCTTGAAGGGAAATTTAAAGTTCCCCCTATTTTATCCATTTCAACCAACATAAAGATTTCAAATAACAACTTCAACGCACAAGTAGTCCAATTCCAGGCTGGGCATATCTAAATGAAGAAAAAAATTGATCTGTCATGAATAACCATTCCATTTTAGGAAAATGCAGACCATTAGAGTTCATTTATTTATTCCACAAATATGTACTGAATATCTACCATATGCCAAGCACTAAGGAGACACCAGTAAACAGAAGAAATTAGCAATCAAAGAAAAAATTAATTTATAATAAAATGTCATAAAAAGTATTATGAAAAAATAACTTTACCATGTTAATGCAGGCTAAGAGATAGTGATGGAGGCACATAGATGATAAGAAAAGGCTGACATAGGAAAGTAGGTGGAAGAAGAATGGGCAAAGATGACATGTGAGTAAATAACCTGTATGAAGAGGATATGTAAGCTATATTGACATTTGGACAAAAATGCTGCATGCATGAAGAACATGTGCAGAAGTTCTAATACAGGAGCATGGTATGTTTACTCAAGTAATAGCAAGCAGTCCAGTGTTGTCAGAGCAAAATGATCTAGTGCTCATCTAAGATCAGATCATCCAGGGCTTTGTACATTTCAAAAAGATAGTTTAGCTGTAATATAGGATAAAGAGATAAAAGTGGCATTAGGAAAGTAAGAATCAGCAAACTGTTGCTGCATAGCCTATGAGCTAAGAATGGATTGTAAATTCATAAATAATTGGAAAAAAAGATATTTCATGATGTGAAAATTATATAAAATTCATATCTAAGCTTCCATGAATAAATTTTTATTGGAACAGAGCCATACTCATTTGTCTAGGTACTATCTGCTGGTTTTGCACTACAAAAGCAGAGTACGTGGTGCTCTCATCACTTAGCACTGATGCTCAGCACATTTCAGATCATACTAATGTAGCTATAGATGACCGTGTTTCAAATGTCACACATATAGCCATACCACATTTTATTTTTATTTTCTTATTACCAGTGTGTACCCATGGTATTAAAACATAAAAAAGAGAAACGTAGACTTTAAATAACATGTTTTTAAAGGCATAGTGGAGTCTGAATTATTTTGTTTTAGAATTAAATGTTAAAGCATTTTTGTTTAGTATGCAGTAACACGATAGCTAGTGATTTTAAAATATAATACACATCAATATTACCAAACAAAGCACTCATTATAATATTGCTAATGCATAGGAATGCAGCAGTGAAAAACTTAGAAAATTTAAAACAAATTATCTCATCAAAACAGAATCTCTTCAGAAAAATTAAAAATGAAAATAAGGCTGCAATTAAAGCAAGCTTCTGAGTGATTCTTTTGTTAGTCAAGCAAAAAAAGTCATTTACAGATGGTAAGTTAATTAAACTGAGTTTCATTTGACAGCCAAAGAACTGTATCCAGAGAAAACAAAATTGTTTAAGAATATTATAGCCTTTCAGTGAAAACAGTTGCTTAAGGAGTTGAGGACATTGAAGCAAAATCAATAGACAATTAAAAATAAATAAATAAAGCAAATGATTCCAAATGGTTTTCCTTGGCTCTTGATGAGATCACAGATGTTACCTACATAATGTTCCATTGTTGTTTATTCAAGGAGTAAATGACTATTTTGAAGTGATTGAAAAACGAGCCTCTGAATAATCTGCATGGAATAACTATACGGATGATTTTTTCAAAGTTGAGAAAACAAAAATTTAGTACCATCTGAAGTGGAATCTGCTAGGATGTCTTATAACAAATGGTGTTAAAAGTATGTATGGGGGAGAAAATTGAACAACTTACAAAGTTTGTGAAAATATACGGTATTTAAAGCATAAGCTTAGTCACTGTATCACTCAGTACTCTGTATTACTCAGGTACCCTGCAAAAAATATTGGAATTTATCATGTTTTATCGAACCAGGAGTGTCATGGTGAACTTCATTCACTTTTTTTTCATGGTCTTAACCAATGTCATTTCCATGCATTTTTCTCAGAAATACAAGTGGAATATACTAACTTGCTCTTCCACACAGCAATTCAAAAAAAAGTTTTTTTTTCTTGAGATCCTGTCTCAAGAAAAAAAAAAATCTTAACAGTGGTAAGGTTTTATTATGATTTTCCGCTAAGGGCATAGACTGATTTTTTTTTTTTTCTGAGAAAAAAATAACTACTATTATCACACACTAAATGGTTTTAGAAATTAGCTTTTACTGAAGACATAATAATGTTTCTTAATAAATTCCATCTAAATTACAAGGCAAAACAGCCCATATATGGGAAATTTACACTGCAGTAAAGTCATTTAGATGACAACACTGTTTGAATCACAAGTAATATGAAGTTACTTTATATACTTTTCTGTGCTATTAAAAGTTAAAAAGAAGTGAGATTGTCATTGTCATACAAATTTGCAGCTAATACATTTTCCAGCTCAAACTTCAATCCCAGAAGTATTTTTCAGATACTGATGCAAGGGCAAAGGAAATTCCCATATTTCAAAATCCATTTAAATGTGGTACTGCGGAGCTTCTACTCAAATATCAATTGCAACTAATTAACCTATAATGTAACGGTATGCTAAAAGGCAAAATCAAGAGAAAAATCTAACAATTATATAAATGCCTTCCAAGAGATAAACATGCTCAATTAACATCCCATGTCCATAGATGGACATTAATAATTGACAATATTTATCTGTGTGAAAACATATTTTAAAAGATGAAATCCATAAAATATTATAGATCATATTAACAGGTGAATATTTGCCATCTATTTTGATGACAGGCAACAGTAACTATGAACCCCAATTAAGTAAAATGTTACCCGCCCCCCTCCCAAGAAAAAGAAATTCTTCTCATTAGAAAACCCATTACAGAAAATTGTACTCAATAGATATATTTTAAATTTTATCAATAAAAATATATTAAAATTTGCTTTCTGTCTTGTTACACAGGTATTTATATAATATCCTTTATCTTGCCTTTTGACCCAAAAATCTAAAATATTTACTATCTGGCCCATTATAGAAAAAGTTTTACAATCTCTGATATAAGAAAATAATGATTTTTCTCTAGACCAGGCAAAGCAGATGATGGGAAATGTCCAGATTCTGGCTATATTTTTATGGTAGAACCAATAAAATTTCCTGACATATTGTGGGGTATATAAGAAAGAGTGAAGACAAAGATGACTTCAGGGTTTTAGCATGAGCAACGAGAAGGATAAATAACAGTTATTGCCATGAACTGAAACTGGAAAGGCTATGGATGAATAGGCTGGAGAGTGGTTCAGTATTGACATGTTAAGTTTAATAAATCTACCAAACAGAAGTGGTTTAGGCCAATTAGATACAGAAATCTGGAATTCAGGAGAGGTTATCTTAGCATAAGATACAAATTTGGGAGTCACTGGCCAATAGGCGGTTTTTGAAACGTTGGAAATGAATGAGATCACAAGGGATACTTGGTAAATAAATAAATGTCCTGAGAACTGAGTATCAGGGCACTAAAACATTCACCATTTGGGAAGGTAAGGTTGATCAGGCGAAGTCAACAGGGTGTGGAACAATGTCTAATCAGGTAGGACATTATGCTATCTTGAAGCAAGATAACCAAAGTGTTAGCAGAAGGAGAAAATGATCAACTGTGTCATATGTCAATAGATAAGCATACTCACTATAGGTTGCACATACCAAATTCAAAAATCTGGAATTTGAAATGCTAAAAAATCCAAAATTTTTGAGCACAGACATAACATGCAAAAGAAATGCTCATTGGAGCATTTCGGACTTTTGGATTAGGAATGTTTGAGCGGTAAGTATAATACAAATATTCCAAAATATGAAAAAAATATGAAATCTGAAACACTTCTGGTTCCAAGCATTTCAGAAAAGAGATATTCAGTGTGTATGTGTTTATATAAAGCATAGACAGTAGTGATTAACAGAACGAAGAACATGGTCCTGAAGCACCAGAAATGTTTCTCCTTTAATCTACTAATCAGTAAAACTAATATTTTAGTAAAAATCAGGATTTTAGTAGTGGTGCTCCTGTTCATATTTTTCCATCACATATAATAAGGACAGTTCTGGAAACCTTGTCAAATGCCTTGCAGAATATGTCAATATGTGTATATCAAGAATTAAATGTTCATATTTTTTAACTTAGTCATTCTATTTCTGGGACTATAGCCTGAAAAAAAAATAAGCTAAAGTAGGAAAATGCTTTATGACTAAAGATAAAAACCTTTTTCCAGATTATATCTGTAAAAAGTAAAATGATTACTTTTTCTTTTTTTTTTTTTTTTTTTTTTTGAGACAGGGTCTCATGCTGTTGCCTAGACTAGAGTGTGCAAGGCATAATTATTGCTCACTGTAACCTCAACCTCCTGGGCTCAAATAATCCTCCTACCTCAGCCTCTGTAGTAGCAGGGACCACAGGTGCATACCAACACACCTAGTAGCAGGGACCACAGGTGCATACCAACATACCCAGCTAATTTTTTTAAATTATGTGTTGTAGAGACAGGGTCTCCCTATGTTGCCCAGGCTGGTCTTGAACTCCTGGGCTCAAGCAATTTTCCCACCTCCTTAAATGCTGGGATTACAGGCATGAGCCACCACACTCAGCTCTTACTTTATGCTTTACACTGAACAACTCAAAGTTCCTTAAAGATGTGATGCTGAATTGTTTTCCTGGCACCACACTCTCAGCCTAACTAAAAAGTTAGTCATTACTTTCAAAGACCCCTCCATAATCGAGATATTTATCTACATCTATTATTGTGGTTTATCATATTATATCAGACATATTATTAATACGTCTTTCTCATCTATTGTAAGTATCCTTCCTGAGAGCAGGGCCCTGTGCCTAGCAGAGTGTGAGGTTCAATAAATGTTTACTATATTCAATTATCCAGTGAGTAACTTGTAATTCAATGTTCTGAGAATAGCAGGTATTTTTGCTTTGTTTAGGACATAAGGCAAATGTAGAGAAGTAATAGAAAATAAAGAGATACCCAAGCAGCATCAACATTTATGAGCTAGGAGAAAGAAGGAGGCAGTGAGGACATCAGAAGAGAAAGGAACACAAGTAGCAAAAAAAAAAAAAAAAAAACTAGAAAAGAGCGAGATGTGCCAGAAACCAGTGGAACAAAATAACTTGACAAGGAAGTGGTCTACACAAACAAATATCATAAATAAACAAAAATTGTAATACAGTGGTTTTGACAAAGAAGAGCTCACAAGACCTCTGCCAGAGCAGTTTCTGGCAGACAGCAAGAGGCTGACGGATGAACAGGTTGAGGCCGCAGAAAGTTCAAGATCTAAGAAACCTGACTGAAGGAGAAAAAAAGAGAGACTATGCAGCAGACTACTGTTATTTAGTGGTTGTACAGGAACTCTACTTAAATATCACAGGATATTTAACTACCTGGATTCCAACAATAAAAGTCTGCAAGCTTTCCAGTCATTGTGACAATCAAAAACATGCCCCCCCACCCCACATTTCTAAATTACCCCAGAAAGGATAGAGTACTGCCTCTGATTGAGAACCCTTAAATGCCAACTCATGCTAAAACAGGAGTCTCTTTCCCATGAGATTGTTTTTATGGTTTAAGATGAAGCTTATTAGCATTTTAGAAAACGTTGGCAATACAGTTACAGGGGACAGTAAGTTTGGGGACAATGCCAAGTAGTTGAGGGAGCTGAAACAGAGCCACGAGGCCTCTATTTTTTCAGAGATGAGTTCTGCTGAGAGTATCCATCACACTATAGTTTCAAGTACAACTTCCTACTTTCCTCCACATAATCAAATTTCTTAAAAGAGATCTTCTCTCTTACTCCTCTTTAGTAATCACTCACTCATTCCCTAAACCTTTATAATCTGGCCCCCACTTTCTCCATGCTACCAAAACAGTTCTATGATAACCAGTACCTTCTTGGTTCCAAATCTAAGGCCCTTTTCTTAGACAATTTTGCTTCTGATCACCTTATAGCATTGGTCACTGCTCCTTCTTAAGACCACTTCTTCTCCCACCACTGTCCTAGTTTGGGCACTTGTTATCTCTTAAACTATAAAATACCTCTGGCCTCTGCCTTCCCTTCAGTTTCTCCTAACATTTACCCATTTTACAAATGACAAGATCTTCCTGAAACATAGTTCTTAAACTGTTCCTGGCTCAGTAATTTTAAAATGGTTGAGAGAACAGACCAAATATCTTGGCCCCAATATTTAAGATCCTTGACAATCAGGTCCCTGCCTATCCTTCTCATTTTATTTCTCACCAATCTGGTTTACATACCACTCGTTCTAGATGAGCAATTAGAACTGCTGAGTGTTCTCTGTACATGCTCTTCTATCTGCTTTCTACGCTTTCACTTATCTTCCTTCAACCTGAAGTAACGCTTTTGCATCGCATGGTCATATATCCAGTTCTTCTTCACACTTTGATCTATAACTCCTATGTCAAGGATTCCCTGACCTCATAGCTACAAGCAATAGCCCTACCCTTCCTAAACTTCCAAAGTACTTTATTTGTACCTTTTTTATGTCACCTTTAAACCTGCATTATACATTTCATATAAACATCCTGCCTCTCCAATAAAGTTCACTAGGAACTATTACTTACTAAGCATTAATATCAGGTACTTACATATATCACACTGTATCCTCTCAATATAATTGAGTTACCCCAATTTAATAAATATAAAAAACAGAGGAATAGGAAATCTGTATAAACTAGCAAATACTCAATACATATTTTTTAATGAATAAATTATTATTCCAAGATGAAGTATCATTCAAAATGTTTACAAATATGCGGGTGTGTTTCACTTTAAGTGAACCAAAGGTAGAGCTCCAAGAATAAAAAATATTTAAGAAAAGAGCCAATAATAGATAAGAGGTTGCGTTCAAATCTAATATTAACAGTTACTACTTAACTTGAGCATATATGATTTTTCAGGCACACACTTTCTATATGCTAATTTATTTTATTCTCATAACAATCCTTTAGAATAGATATTGTTTTCACTGGCCAATACTTGGTGAGGTTAAGTGACTCGTTCAAAGTTGCAAAGCCAGGATACACATAAAGCCAGCCTTTCTGGCTTTAAATTCTTTGCTCTAGAGTAGTTAGTGAGAAGGCCCAAACAGCTTAAGCTTGAAAGAAATACAAATTTGGGCAAGTGCTTCTTTTTGCTTTATTAATATTAACATGTGGACATCTACAAAACGTAATAAGGCATTTAAAAACTGAGAAAATTTTCTACTTTTCCCAATTTCTATAAAATGTAATATGTTATTTAATAACCAAGAAAACATTCTATTTTTTCCTAATATCTCTAAGCAGACATTAAAACTTGTTATTTGGAATGAATATTTGTTTCCAAATGAACAATGAAAGTAGTATATAATAAGTAACAAAGCACCAAATAGAGTAAGGAATCTCAAAACTCAAAACTGAAAAGCATTGTAAACATCTTCTTATTTTAAAAAACACTCACAGAGTCAGCAAAAGGATACAACAAAATGTATAAATTGTACCAACCCACTCATGCTAGGACTTTCCTATAAAAGTTTCTGGTCAGATAGTAAACTGTTAATATTTGAATTGAAGTTTATGTTAAAATGCTATAAAAAATAAAATTTATGTTGGTAAAACTGAAATTAACTGCCATGAATGTCAGTACTACTTACCATGATGTTTTACTTCATTAGACAAAAAGACCAAAAAAAAAAGTCTACTTCTATTTACAATAAATAAAACTAATCCATATTATAATCCTTCCACATGAATCATTAGAACTTGGGGAGAGAACTAAAGAGGAGAAACCATCATGTCTATTATTACTGTGACTAAATGGGATTAACTAATCCTCATGAGGTAAAGTTATGAATTAAGTGGTGCTCAGAACACTAAGAAAATTTGTGGGGAGAGAATGCAAATAGCTCCCTAATTATCTACAGCCTATTAACAAGCAAACCTTATTACTTGCAATTAAAATCCTCTTAAATTTTATGGCAAAAGTTCATTGAAACGTTGAAAATTATATGCTAATTATTATACTGTAAAGCACATGTTTAGTGTATACTTTTACTATGGGCTCAATAAATAATAAAATATCAAATTCAAGGTGATACAGTAACTAAATATTTTACTAGATGGAAAACACCTTGGTATGAAGCCAGTATGGGCTCCTGTTACAATTTCACAGCACTATAGCACCAGAATATCCCCAATAACAACTAAGTTCTATGTGCACGGTGACACGGCTATCCTGTTAACCACTGAATGGAACCCCAACACCATCACAGTACCTGGCATAGATAAGTACTTAAGTATTAATTGAAGAAATAATGTTGACGGATGAAAATATATATTTGGTGATAATATCATCTACTTTCAGGTTCTGAATCTTTAAGCGCTACCACAGAGTTCATTCATTCATTGGTTTCTGTACCAATTCCCACACAATAAATCTATAATATTTATGAAATTATTTATGTCTAAAAGCTCCCATGGCAACCTAGACCAAGTTTGTCTTGTTCCTAACTGTATCAGAGCACCCAGCACAAATAAAGCCATCAATAAATATTTGTGAAATAAATGAATGAATAAATACAAGAAAAAAAAAGGATGTTACTACAGTTTGCAACTGCCTGGGACACAATATTCTTCAGTAGGCAATGTATTATGTTCTAAGAACAATAAGCCCATGCTACAAATGGTGTGAGTCATGAAACAGTGCCCACAGATGGGTCTTTTAACTGAGGACTCCCCCAGCTCCCACCTGATTGATGATTGATTGATTGATTTAGAGACAGGGTTTGCTCTGTTGCCCAAGCTAGAGTGCACTGGTGCCTTGATCTCCTGGGCTCAAGTGATTCTCCCACTTCAGCCTCCGAAGTAGCTGGAACCACAGGTGCATACTACCACACTCAGATAATTTTTGTATTTTTTGTAGAGATGGGGTTTTGCCATGTTGCCCAAGCTGGTCGCAAACTCAAGCAATCCAGCTGACTCGGCCTCCCAAAGTGCTGAGATTACAGGTGTGAGCCACTACGCGGGGCACCAATATCATTTTCACACCTATACAAGTTAGGGGAAAATACCTTAATACATAAAGGAAACAACCAATATTCAGTTTCCCTCAATGTTTCTCTCTCTCCCTCTCCTCTTCCCCTTTCCCCCACCTCTTAACAGCTAGTTTGTTCAAATCAGGATCCAAGGTCCATAAAATGTGCCTGTTGAGGTATTTCATAAGCCTTATCATATACATTCCTCTTTTATTTTTATATTTTTGACATCTATTTGTTGCAGAAACTAAGCTGTTTCTGCATGCATCCAGCTTTTTTGCATTCTGAATTTTTCTAATTATGCTCTTGTTCTTGTAACATGTTCCCCCTTTCCTTTTGTTTCCCATAAACTGGTTATTAGATTTAAAACAGCAATTTCTATTAGAAATACAATGCAAATCACATATACATTTTAAAGTTTTCTAACAGTCACATAAAAAAGGAAAGAAACAGATAAAATTAATTCTAATAATATATTTTTAACAATATATTCAAAATATCATTTCAGCACACAATCAATATAAAAATAAAATATTTAGATTCTTTCATCATTTGAATATTAATCCAAATCCAGTGAGCATTTTACAACTTATGGCACATCTCAGTTGAGACTAACCACATTTGAAGTGCTCAACAGCCACATGTGGCAACCATACTAGACTGCACAGTAATCGAGACTTGATCAAATTGAGGTTAGACACCTAACGCCTGCTTGTTTCCTTTTTGGTGATGTTAATATTGGTCTGTGAATCTAGGTACTGTCAGCTTTGTCTATTCATTAGGAAAATCCATATCAGCTTCTTTCCTAATGATTTTAGTAGCTATTAATGATTATGCCCAGATATCAATTTTTTTTTGCTATTCTAATTCTATTATTCCTTCTGCATTTATTAGCTGCAATTCTTCAATTAAAAAGAACTGGCCAGGCATGGTGGCTCACAGCTGTAATTCCAGCACTTTGGGAGGACAAGGCAGGAGGATCGCTTGAGGCCAGGAATTCAAGACCAGCCTCGGCAACATAGCGAGAACCTGTCTCTACAAAAAATAAACTTTCTCTCATCAATGTGGTTATATAAGTTACAGTACATATAGAAAAATGAGATAAACATATGATTCTCAAAATATTAGGTTTTTGACATTAAAACCTGCCTCCCCAGAATACTCTGAAGGTAATCCATAAAGATTTTGTAATGAGTATCATTATGAACACATGGATTTAAACATAATTTGCCATGCTTTAATCTATTATACTTTCATTCTTTTACTTTTAGACTGTCTCATCTTCTGGATAGTAAAAGCTACTTCATTTTACCTCCTGCAACCCTTTTTACCTCACCCCAGGACCCTCTGGCCTCTGACATAGCAGGTTGGTCCAGGCTGACCTTGCCCAATCAAGCCAATTATTTTCACTGGCAAATGATATTTAGAGACAACAATCTAGGTGTGAGAGGGCCCGCTGCTACCAGATTGTTTGTCATTTCTAGGCCATTCCAGTAGGCAAAGCAAGAAAAAATACTGTTTAACTTTAAAAAATGAGTTTTACAGATATTTCCAACAGAAATTTAAGATAAAAGGGGTTTTCGCTTCTCGATTTTTAATACATGTTCCCATTTTCTCTTGCTCTGAAAAATCTTAGTTTCCAATACCATTAACATAATTACTTATTTGCTTTACACTATAGGGTCATAACTGTATTTCAGCATGTATCAGGAATTCATTCCGTATTTTTTCATAAATACATTGAAAGACTGTCATTTTGGGAAAATTATTAGAATTAAGTTCAGAGTAACAATAGCAATACTACTACTAAGAATAATCAATAATACTCCTTCTCTGGAGAGAAAGAAGGCCCCACTGGGAATCTTCAGATTACTGAGTTCTAAAGTTACCTGAAATAATTTGCCTCTATGTAGTATATAATAGCAAATTAATTTATTTCCTTTGGCTTCCAATTCAGCCATTGATTTAAAAATTTTTAATTCTATTTTATAATTATATATTAAAAGTAAAATCTAGAAAACAAGGTTTATTGAGAAAAGTCTGTTGTCATTGTTTTTTGTTGTTGAGACAGAGTCTTACTCTGTCACCCAGAATGGAGTGCAGTGGTGCAATCTTGGCTCATTGCAACCTCTGCCTCCCGGGTTCAAGCAATTCTCCTGCCTCAACCTCCCAAGTAGCTGGGATTACAAGTGCCTGCCACCATGCCTGGCTAATTTTTATATTTTTTTAGTAGAGATGGGGCTTCACCACATTGGCCAGGCTTGTCTCGAACTCATGACCTCACGCGATCCACCCATCTTGGCCTCCCAAAGTGCTGGGATTGCAGGCACGAGGCACTGTGCCCAGTCAAGAAGTCTATTTTCAATTCCTATCTCTCTACCTTGTCTCTTCTATCGCCTTAAAGTCATTTTTTTTATTATACTTTAAGTTTTAGGGTACATGGGCACAACGTGCAGGTTTGTTACATATGTATACATGTGCCATGTTGGTGTGCTGCACCTATTAACTCGTCATTTAACATTAGGTATATCTCCTAATGCTATCCCTACCCCCTCCCCCTACCCAACAACAGGCCCCAGTGCGTGATGTTCCCCTTCCTGTGTCCATGTGTTCTCATTGTTCGATTCCCACCTATGAGTGAGAACATGCGGTGTTTGGTTTTTTGTCCTTGCGATAGTTTGCTGAGAATGATGGTTTCCAGCTTCATCCATGTCCCTACAAAGGACATTAACTCATCCTTTTTTATGGCTGCATAGTATTCCATGGTGTAAATGTGCCACATTTTCTTAATCCAGTCTATCATTGTTGGACATTTGGGTTGGTTCCAAGTCTTTGCTATTGTGAATAGTGCCGCAATAAACATACGTGTGCATGTGTCTTTATAGCAGCATGATTTATAATCCTTTGGGTATATACCCAATACTGGGATGGCTGAGTCAAATGGTATTTCTAGTCCTAGATCCCTGAGGAATTGCCACACTGACTTCCACAATGGTTGAGTCAGTTAAACTAGTAAAGTCATTTTTATTAGTTTTAGGTTAAACTTTCCATTTTAAAAATATAAGCAAATATAATTACATTTGCCCCTCCCCATTCCTTAAAGGATTATATATTATTACATATATCCTTTTCTACCTTGTTTTGTTCATTTATCCTGGTGATCACTTCCAAAGCAGTGTATATTCTTCATTGTGTAAATGTAAAACAGATTATTCAGCTTCCAACACTGGATGGACATTTTTATCCTTTTTAGACTTTTGCTATTATAGATAGTGCTGTGATAAATAGCCTTATCATTTTTGCCACCAAATCTTTAAGACAGATTCCTAGAACTGGGGTTGCTGGGTGAAGGAATAAATAAGTGCATATGTAATTTTGGTAGATACTGCTAAATTGCTTTCACTACAAGCTTGTGTTTTCTCCAGCAATGTACACCTTTTTAGCAAGAGCAATCCACTCAATGGGCATTGACTGAAAAACTGACACTTGGCAAACCAAAAGTTTGCTGTCAAGATATACAAATGGCCAGTGCTGTTTCTGTCTTTTCACACCACTGACAAGAGCAATGCTTATCAATTTATTTCACTCAGGACAGAAACAAATAGCAATGGAAATGAAAAATAATTATCATTTAGGATTGTCTAATGATAAAGTTTTCATATGATTTTAAAATACCAAATTCTATTTAATAAAAATCATGGTGACATGGAACCTCAAGGGTCTTCCAAATAGCTACTTTCCAAAGGTTCTATATTACTGTATTGTGTTGGGGGGTATTTATCGCCAACTGCCCCTCCTAAAACATCTTTTTGTATTCTCTCCCATCGCAAACCTAGTCTAACTTGTAGGATCTTCACATTTGTGGGGAGGAGGTTAGAGGGTAGGGTAGAAGATGTGTGATCAGATTCTGGGTTTTGGAAGGGTTTTTTGCTTCTATTTGTTCACTTCTCTATTTTCAAAACGTCTGCCATTTGCACTCCATACCACTCATCCTAATTGTAGCTGCCATTGCTGCTAAAATCCACTACACTTCCAACTTCTATGTTTGCTTGTTTTTGGTGTTGCTTTCATTTTGTTAGGCTTCTCAGCCCCCAAGTGAAAGGTCTAATTTTCATATCAAGAGCATCAGCCAAACCTTTGATTTTAATCCAGTAGCAAAATGATGAACTGAATGTAATACCCTTCTCAGGAATGCTCATTTCTGGCTGGGTACTCAGGAGTTGCTTTTATATTGTTAGAGAAGGCTTATTTTGTTTGTGTTGTTGTGGGTTTTGTTTTCTTTCTTTTCTTTTTCTAAATCCAGAGGTTAGATAAAACCAGTCTTCAAAGTTTACTACTTTGCCATACTAACACAGTTGGCGTAAACTGTCTGATCTCTGCCTGCACAACAAAGCTACCTTTTATCAGACTGTGAAACCACCTTTCATGGCTGCCACAGAACTACTCAGAACAACACAGTCTACAAAAATATTCCTAAGACATTTACTATGATAAAATTCCCTTGATTGCAGAAGTAGTCATTCAGACAACTGTAAGTATTACTAAATAAATGTTTATTGGGCACTATAATATTATACTAAAATGTAAGACCCATGAAGGCAGGAAATTTTGTCTGTTTTATTCACTACTAGATATTCAGTGCTTAGAACAATGTTGCAAACAGTGAAACTCAATACCTATTACAAATATTTATTGAATGAATAAATAAATGAGCATTATTCATAAGGCACCATGAAAGTATTATGAGTAGAAACAGTATCTGCCTTAAGAAGCTGCTAATTTGATTAGACTAGGTTAAACATATAAAAAGGCAAATATGTAACATATATAAGCCAAATGAATGGAGTTGACATCAATGTTGTAAGAGCCCATAGAATGGGAATATCATCACCCAGTGGAGGAATCTCTACTCACATTTGGCTTGTCATAAAAAGTAGTACTCAGCTTAGCACAGAAGGGGGAAGTACAAGTGTATGAACTAATGTGAGCAAATATACAAAATCAGGAAATGATGAACAGCAATCCATAAGACAGACTTCCCTTACGAAGGAGACATGTTTTTGTTTTTCTAGTTTTGTTTTTAAAGCAAAGAACATTTTACGCTTAAAGTGTATTTTTTAAAAAAACAAAATATAATTTTTCTTTATAATTAATAATTATGCTAAAATGCTTCTATATCATATAAGCAAACAAAAGATGTTTTTAGTAATAACCTCTAGGGGTTACCATTTTAATATCAACATGACTTGTTTCTTACATGTGTAAGCATTTAACATTGTGTTCACAGGTAAAGAACAATATTTATTCCATTTATTCTGAAGATTTACACCTCAAATTATAGGGAAAAATGATTAATTTCCATAGAAACATGGGTTAAAAAACAAATTTTTTATCCTTTCAAAATTTCTGAGATGTGGAAGCATTTACCATTGTATTTATATATAAAGTTTTAAAAAAATACAAGAATTCATAGTACAGTTTCCCCAAAACTAAGATTATTAATATTTTAAAAGGGGGTTTTAAGATTCTTAAAGATATAATAGAGTAGAACAAAGTACTTTAATGTTTCGTTTCCCAAAAATATTAAAAAACTGAGATTTTTTAACTTAATAGTAATAACACATGTATGTTTACTATGTGCCTGACACTACTCTTAAGTGTTTAACATACATTTTTAACAGTATTAATAATATAAGATTTAACAGTTTGCTTTTTTTAAGTTATTTTCTTAATAATTTTAAGGTGCTTAGTTCTTACATTTAATGTTTTATGTGCCATTATTTTGCTTTTACTGCAAAAGAAAGATCTGGCTCCCAAAGATAAAGGAGATTTTTGGTAAATGGTGAAGGTAAAGAAATAAATGACCCACTTGCCTAGTGTGTAATTACACTGCCTGAGATTGTAACAATCTATCACATGAAGGAGGATGACACCACGCTAAGGGGTGAGTCAAAGGAGATAGCCTTTGACTAACTACGGGACCCTGACGATCGATACTCCACAGATATTGTGCTCTCAAAAACAATTGAATTCTAAAAAAGTTTGAAAATAGATTCCCCCCCTTCTTTTGATACTGATCAGAGACCTATCTTGACCTTATTCTGGAAGAGTAATACTTTCTTAAAAAGGTATATGAAATACATAAATCGTTTCTATCTCTGGACTGTTCTTTCAAATGGATATTTAACACATTCCTATTAAAATAACAGTCTGCAAGCCAAAAAAAAAAAAAACTGCTGAAATCTTTCCTTATTAGATAAATATGCCTTCCTGATTGGCTGTTATCAAGTTATCATAATACTTAGCACATGACAGGTAAGTACTCCAAAGGCTCAAAACTTGAAAAACCTATCAGAAAATAAAAGTCTCCCTCTCCCTCTCCCTCTCCCTCTCCCTCTCCCTCTCCCTCTCCCTCTCCCTCTCCCTCTCCCTCTCCCTCTCCCTCTCCCTCTCCCTCTCCCTCTCCCTCTCCCTCTCCCTCTCCCTCTGCCTCTCCCTCTCCCTCTCCCTCTCCCTCTCCCTCTCCCTCTCCCTCTCCCTCTCCCTCTCCCTCTCCCTCTCCCTCTCCCTCTCCCTCTCCCTCTCCCTCTCCCTCTCCCTCTCCCTCTCCCTCTCCCTCTCCCTCTCCCTCTCCCCACGGTCTCCCTCTCATGCGGAGCCAAAGCTGGACTGTACCGCTGCCATCTCGGCTCACTGCATCCTCCCTGCCTGATTCTCCTGCCTCAGTCTGCCGAGCGCCGCCACGCCTGACTGGTTTTGGTGGAGACAGGGTTTCGCTGTGTTGGCCGGGCCGGTCTCCAGCCCCTAACCGCGAGTGATCCGCCAACCTCGGCCTCCCGAGGTGCCGGGATTGCAGACGGAGTCTCGTTCACTCAGTGCTCAATGGTGCCCAGGCTGGAGTGCAGTGGCGTGATCTCGGCTCACTACAACCCACACCTCCCAGCCGCCTGCCTTGGCCTCCCAAAGTGCCGAGATTGCAGCCTCTGCCCGGCCGCCACCCCGTCTGGGAAGGGAGGAGTGTCTCTGCCTGGCCGCCCATCGTCTGGGATGTGAGGAGCCCCTCTGCCTGGCTGCCCAGTCTGGAAAGTGAGGAGCGTCTCCGCCCGGCCGCCATCCCATCTAGGAAGTGAGGAGCACCTCTTCCCAGCCGCCATCACATCTAGGAAGTGAGGAGCGTCTCTGCCCGGCCGCCCATCGTCTGAGATGTGGGGAGCGCCTCTGCCCCGCCGCCCCATCTGGGATGTGAGGAGCGCCTCTGCCCGGCCGAGACCCCGTCTGGGAGGTGAGGAGCGTCTCTGCCCGGCCGCCCCGTCTGAGAAGTGAGGAGACCCTCTGCCTGGCAACCACCCCGTCTGAGAAGTGAGGAGCCCCTCCGCCCGGCAGCTGCCCCGTCTGAGAAGTGAGGAGCCTCTCCGCCCGGCAGCCACCCCATCTGGGAAGTGAGGAGCATCTCCGCCCAGCAGCCACCCCGTCCGGGAGGGAGGTGGGGGGGGGTCAGCCCACCCCGGCCAGCCGCCCCATCCGGGAGGGAGGTGGGGGGTCAGCCCCCCCGCCCGGCCAGCCGTGCCATCCGGGAGGGAGGTGGGGGGGTCAGCCCCCACGCCCGGCCAGCCGCCCCGTCCGGGAGGTGAGGGGCGCCTCTGCCCGGCCGCCCCTACTGGGAAGTGAGGAGCCCCTCAGCCCGGCCAGCCACCCCGTCCGGGAGGGAGGTGGGGGGGTCAGCCCCCCCACCCGGCCAGCCGCCCCGTCCGGGAGGGAGGTGGGGGGGTCAGCCCCCCGCCCGGCCAGCCGCCCCGTCCGGGAGGGAGGTGGGGGGGTCAGCCCCCCGCCCGGCCAGCCGCCCCGTTTGGGAGGTGAAGGGCGCCTCTGCCCGGCCGCCCCTACTGGGAAGTGAGGAGCCCCTCTGCCAGGCCAGCCGCCCCGTCCGGGAGGGAGGTGGGGGGGTCAGCCCCCCGCCCGGCCAGCCGCCCTGTCCGGGAGGGAGGTGGGGGGGTCAGCCCTCCGCCCGGCCAGCCGCCCCATCTGGGAGGTGAGGGGCGCCTCTGCCCGGCCGCCCCTACTGGGAAGTGAGGAGCCCCTCTGCCCGGCCAGCCGCCCCGTCCGGGAGGGAGGTGGGGGTGTCAGCCCCACGCCCGCCAGCCGCCTCGTCCGGGAGGGAGGTGGGGGGTCAGCCCCCCGCCCGGCCAGCCGCCCCGTCCGGGAGGGAGGTGGGGGGGGTCAGCCCCCCTGCCCGGCCAGTGGCCCCGTCCGGGAGGTGAGGGGCGCCTCTGCCCGGCTGCCCCTACTGGGAAGTGAGGAGCCCCTCTGCCCGGCCAGCCGCCCCGTCCGGGAGGGAGGTGGGGGGGGTCAGCCCCCCCCGCCCGGCCAGCCGCCCTGTCCGGGAGGTGAGGGGCGCCTCTGCCCAGCCACCACCCGGTCTGGGAGGTGTGCCCAACAGCTCATTGAGAACGGGCCAGGATGACAATGGCGGCCTTGTGGAATAGAAAGGCGGGAAAGGCGGGGAAAAGATTGAGAAATCGGATGGTTGCCGTGTCTGTGTAGAAAGAAGTAGACATGGGAGACTTTTCATTTTGTTCTGCACTAAGAAAAATTCCTCTGTCTTGGGATCCTGTTGATCTGTGACCTTACCCCCAACCCTGTGCTCTCTGAAACATGTGCTGTGTCCACTCAGGGTTAAATGGATTAAGGGCGGTGCAAGATGTGCTTTGTTAAACAGATGCTTGAAGGCAGCATGCTCGTTAAGAGTCATCACCAATCCCTAATCTCAAGTAATCAGGGACACAAACACTGCGGAAGGCCGCAGGGTCCTCTGCCTAGGAAAACCAGAGACCTTTGTTCACTTGTTTATCTGCTGACCTTCCCTCCACTATTGTCCCATGACCCTGCCAAATCCCCCTCTGTGAGAAACACCCAAGAATTATCAATAAAAAAATAAATTAAAAAAAAAAAAAAAAAAAAAAGTTTCCAAATGAGGGTTACAGTGTATACCCTGAACCTGATACAGTACTTAATAAATAGCATGATTTGACTATGTAAAAAGCAAACAGAGGCCAGGCATGGTGGCTCACACCTGTAATCCCAGCAATTTGGGAGGCTGAGGCGGGTCAATCACCTGAGGTCAGGAGTTCATGACCAGCCCGGGCAACATGGTAAGACCCCATCTCTACAAAATTGGCCTGGTGTGGCGGCAGGCACCTATAATCCCAGCTATTCAGGAGGCTGAGGCGGAAGAATTGCTTGAAGCTGGGAAAGCCAGGAGGCGGAGGTTGCTGTGAGCCGAGATCGTGCCACTGCCCTCCAGCCTGGGCAACACAGCGAGACTCTGTCTCAAAAAAAAAAAAAAAAAAGAAGAAAGAAAGAAAGAACTTTTACAAATAAAAAAAACTTTTATGTCCATTAAATATTTTACAAAATAATTCTACAGGATAAATAATCACATTAGAATTGTCTTAAAACAGTGCATCATGTTTTATTTTATTTTTATTTTTGAGACTGAGTCTCACTCTATCGCCCAGGCTGGAGTGCAGTGGCACAATCTCAGCTCATTGCAACCTCTGCCTTGAGGGTTCATGTGATTCTCATGACTCAGCTTCCTGTGTAGCTGGGATTACAGGAGCCCACCATCACACCTAGTTAATTTATTTTTTTATTTTTTTATTTTTAGTAGAGATAGGGTTTCACCACGTTGGCCAGGCTGGTCTCGAACTGACCTCAAGTGATCCACGAGCATCGGCCTCCCAAACTGCTGGGATTACAGGCATGAGGCACCACGCCCAGCCTCATGTTTTATTTTTAAATACTTGAACTGTATCTCCACATGATTCCTATTACCATAGTTATAATTAAATTCATTAAGCTATATCAAAAATTTTTCAAATTATATTTTACATAATTTCTGGGATGTTTGTATACAGCATTTTAAGTATCTGTAACTACAAGAGCAAGTGTCTAAAATACACTTTAAAGTCTGAAAGAGATTAAGTGGAAAGTAAAATCTCATCTAAATCCCAATAATTATTTTCTTTTCACAGAGGCTAATATTAACAAATATAATGTAATCCATGAAAAATCATGATTATTATAATATGAAAGATTATAAAATTAAACTTTTTAGAAAGTTCAGAATTTTGTATTGATACTATAGCATTTGCTATTCGCAGAGGATGACAGGTATTTCGCAAAAATGTCAGTACGAGAAGGATATTACATGAAACTGCAAGATGTCACCTCTATTCTAGAGGGTTGTAGCAACCCACTCCCTCCCAAAGCACACCCTTGTTAGGATAAAAGAAGAATTACCAGATAAATAGGCTGTGCCTCAAACCAATTAAATCCCTGGGGGTGCAATCCAGGCAACGGAAATTTTTTAAAAGCTTCCTACATTCCAATATGTAGACAAGGTTAAGAACTACTGCTGTATGGTATAGATCTGTTTGCAAAGGTGAAGAAGTTTGAAAGAAGTAGGCAAAAAGAGTGAAAGTGTAAGATAAGAACACTATTGGATAACAAAGATGAGTATATTTCACTCCAAAATCTACAAAGGATTTGTGAGGCCAGTACCTCAGGCCTGTAATCCCAGCATTTAGGAGGCTGAGGCAAGAGGCCTGCTTCAGGCCTGGAGTTTGAGACCAGTCTGGGCAACACAGCGAGATTCTGTCTCTACAAAAAAATTAAAAAATTAGCCATGGGTGGTAGCAGTCTTAGTACTCAGGAGGCTGAGGCAAGAGAATCATTTGACCCCAGGAGGTCAAGACTGCTGTGAGCCAAGATTGTGGCACTGCACTCCAACCTGGGTGAGAGAGTGAGACCCTATCTCTTAAAACAAAACAAAACAAACAAACAAAAAAAAACAGATAAAATCTACAGAAGATAAAAGGGGTTAGATCAGTAGAAAGCCCTCACAAACTTTACAAACTAGCAATTTAATTACATTAACAAATTATTCTGTTAAAATACAAATACAACTTGAGGAAATTTATTGAATTGCTCACATTCAGACCTTGATATAAAATTTATTTAACAAAATGTAACCTAGCTAAAATAAGTCACGGTTAATGAGAATTCTGATTGTCTATAGGGAACTACCGTTTCAGAGAATAAAGGGATCTAGGGTGTAGATCTTGAATTTCCAGAAAAAACTTTGAAGTCACTGTATATATATGAAGGCAAAGGAGTCTACAGAAGACCAGGCTCAAGTAAGATGGCAAAAATTATATCAAGTAAGATGTCAAATTGATGACAGAAGGTGCACAAAAGAGTATCATTTCCATTACTGTCTACCAAAATTTGGTAGGATGTCATATGATATAAAAATACCAGACTTATTTTGAATATAAAAAATTTCATAAACTCAGTTTATTCCTGTGTTTTCAATTGAACTTAGGACAGTTCTACTCACCCCACTTATGCTGAAAAAAAAAAAAGAAGAGAAAAAATAAAAGTACAAAAGACATCCATGGAATCTCATATCAATGTTCCTTCTTTTATTCAGTATCAAATATTTAAGACCCTGGTAGTATATATCAGGTATTGGACCAGGGATGAAAACATCAAAATTAATGTTACGGGCTTCTACTCTACAAGTACTTTATAGTATACTGGGAAAAAATAAAATGTGTACCAGACTATAAGTGCTTTAATACTTGTATTTATCAAACGCTATGAGAACACATATAAGCAAAGAAATATCTACCAAGTAATGCTTCTGAGAGAAAGAAGAGGCAATGGCTGATAAAGTACTTGGACACAGTCACATTTCGGAAGGATTCTGAAAGACAAATGGGAACTCACCAAGAAGATAACATGGGAACAGAACTGAAAACACAAAGAAGAGCATGAGAAAATATAAAGAAAAAATAAAAGGTATGTCTGGATCGCAAGTTGCTTGGTGTGGTTAGAGATGCACGAAAAAGATGAATGGCAAGGAAGATTTAAGGAATGGCACTAACAAGCCTTGAATGTCATGTCTTAGGTTTTTCAATGAAGTGGTTTTAATAATGGTACTAGGAAGGCTGCAATAGCATTGAAAGAGAGTAAAGACAAGGAAACCCACTGGTAGACTACTTGCAGACTTCTATAACCAAGGGTTTTTCAATGAATCTAGGTTGTAATCATAACCGATTGTTATAATGGGGTATAGATATAGATCATATAAACAATGGAAAGCTGTTCTGATCTCAGAATAGACCCTTGAGTTTTCTCTTTTCAATGAATACCTAATTATGGCTTGACATATTATCGAAAACAGACCAGGAAATGTATAATGGCATTACCTAATACAAGTGTATCATAAAGCATAATAGCCTGTCACTGACATTTCACTTCTTTATTTCTCCATTTATATATCCTCTAATCACATGCAGTGTGGATTTCATGCCACCGGTTCACAGGATGTGTTCCCTCAAAGTATATATAATCCAAAAACTCCTAAATCCTTAGCCCCTAAGCTTTTCCCTAACATTTCACATATGACACAGGAATTAACATTGCCATTTAAGATTGAGTAAACTGAGGTTTAGTGCACATTATATAATTCCAAGGCCAAAAAACTACTAATTAAAAGTGCTTATTTTCAAAAACCCAGAACTGTATGAGGCCAAAACCGATGATCATTCTTCTATGCCAAACTTACCTCATGAGATAATTTTCTTCTACTCATGAATAGATTACAACCTTAAGAAGCCTAGCAACTTCAAGTTCATTTTCTTTTATAAAATAAAACATTACATAAGTTGAGAACTTTTTGAGACATAACTCACATATAATTTTATGAGTTTTGACAAACACATACAATTATGTCAGGACCCCTAAGATACCATCAGATTCAATTATTCACAAGGAATCACAGGATTGAGTCATCTTCATGGCTATGACTTCCTGAATCTTGTCTTAGTACAAACAAAATCAACAAAGGGAGTGCCATGGTACAAGATCTAGAGAAACCAGGTACAAGCTTCCAAGAGTCCTTTCCTTACGCAATCACACAGGATGTGTCTAATTCCTCCAGGAATTTCACACATATCACAATGTGTGAAATGTTTGTCAAAGGAACCTTATTTAGAGACTCAGCTCCCAAGGTTTTCATTTGGGACTGGTTGCTTAGGGACCCTCTGTCTAGTACATGCTGTAATTCTAGACTCCCAGAAAGAAAACTGATGTTTACAATCAACTACATCGTTTGGACAAACAGTCTAAGCACAGTGAGCCACTCATCATTTATGTAAAGTTCTATATCAGTGTAGGGACCTGTTTACTATTCAAATTCCCAGATGCCAGCCAAGGGTCCACCTTGTAACTGACCCTTTGTAAAGGATGAGACGCTACGTTAACACTTTTCTGCAAAGTTATATAATCACCAACACAATCACGATACAGAACAGCTCCATCATGCCAAGAAAAAAAAAATCTTTGCACCCCTTTTTAATCAACCTCTACAACCACTGGTCTAATTTCTATTCTTATAATGTGCCTATTCCAGAATGTCATACAAATGGAATCAATCACATTTGCACATAGCCTTTTGAGTCTGGCTTCTTTCACTTATTGTAATGCACTTCAGATTCATCCATGTTGTTATATGCACCAGTAATTTGTTCCTTTTTATTGCTAAATAATAGTCTACTATGGATATACCACAGATATTTTCATCTGCCACAATTCAATATGGTTTTCTCCGGTAAACTGTATTTCTACTTCACTTGAGTAAACATCTAAGAACTATATGAGGCCAAAACCTACGATCATTCTTCTATGCCAAACTTCCCTCATCAAAACACGCAGTAGAATGGAGGAACCTCAAATTACTATGCTGAGTGAAAGAAGACAAAAAAGAAGTACAAATTGCATAAAACCATTTATATAAAATTCTAGATAATGTAAGCTTATCTAGAGTGACAGAAGATCAATGACTGCCTAGGGGCAGGGAGGGTGGGAGAGAGTAATCACGAAAGGGTAGGAAAAAATCTCTAGATTATGATGATGGTTTCATGGATAGACATAAGCAGAGTCAACACTCGGTATCCTCAGGTTCTGCATCTGCAGATTCAATCAACCACAGACTGAAAATATTCATATAAGAAAACAATAAAAAATAGCAATAAAATAAAAAATAGGTCGGGTGCCATGGCTCACACCTGTAATCTCAGCACTTTGGGAGGCTGAGGCAGGCGGTTCACTTGAGGTCAGGGATTCTAGACCAGCAGTCTCTACTAAAAATACAAAAATCAGTCAGGCATGGTGGTGTGTGCCTGTAATCCCAGCTACTCAGGAGGCTGAAGCAGGAGATTTGCTTGAACCTGGGAGGTGGAGGTTGCAGTGAGTTGAGATTGTGCCACTGTGTACTCCAGCCTGGGCAACAGAGTGAGACACCATCTCCAAAAAAGAAAAAAAAATGCAAAATTTAAAATATAGTAAAACAACCATTTACATAGCATGAACATTGTATTCAGTATTATATGTAATCTAGAGATGATACAGCAGAAGGATATATGTAAGCTATATGCAAATACTATACCATTTTATACAAGGAACTTGAGCATCTGTGGATTTTGGTATTCATGCGGGCCCTGCAACCAATTCTCTGTGGATACTAAGGGATTACATGTCAAACTGTACATTTTAAATATGTACAGTTTATTGTATGTCAATTGTACCACAAAAAATAAACAAAGCCTTAGTCACATCCATTAAGTTTTCATTCTATTTTTTTATATTATTGATGTCATTTTTTCTGTACCCAGGACTATGTAATACATTTCCTATTTCACATTTGATATTAAACCATGTGAAGAATCATCCTTATTTAACTAATGAAAGGAAAATATTTAAGGAAGCTGAAACCCAGAGAGACTAAGTGGTACTGAAAACACCCAAAAACCAAGTGCTCTGCCAGTGTCACGTATCTGTTAAGTAAAGAGATTCAAACCCATGTCTGCTTTACTTAAAAGCTAACGGTCTTAATCACTATACCATACAATATTAATATATCATCTTAAAGGAAGGATTCAGAGGATAGACACTGTGCTAGGCTGAATAACAGCCTCCCAAATATGTCTAAATACTAATCCCCACAACCTGTATGTTACTTTACAGGGACTTTGTGGATGTGATTACATTAAGGATATAGATATGAGGGCATTATCCAGGATTAACTTCGTTGGGCATGTAATCATAAGCATCCTTATAAGAGGGAGGAAGGAAGGTTAGAGTGAGAGAAGGCATTGTGATGATGGAAGCAGAGGAAAAGGAGACTGACAACAGAGAAGCAGAGTCAGAGAGAAATTTGGAGATGCTATGCTGCTAGTTTTGAAGATGGAGGAAGAAGCCATGAACCAAGGAATGAAGGCAGCCTGTAGAAGATAGAAAAGTCAAGGAATTTTCCCCCAAAAACCTGCAATTGATTGAATGTTTGTGTTCTCTATAAATTCATATGTTGAAATTTTAACCCCCAATGTGACAATATTAGGAGGTAGGGTCCCTTAGTCAGTAATTAGATTGTGAGGGTAGGACCCTCAGGAATAGAATTAGTGCCCTTAGAAAAGAGGCCCCAGAGAACTCTCTAGCTCTCCTTCCACCATGTTAGGATACAATGAGAAGTCAGTAGTCTTCAACCTGGGAGAGGGCTCTCACCAGAATCCAACCATGCTGACTGGCACCAGATCACAGACTTCCAGCCTCCAGAAGTCTGACAAATAAATGTTTGTACTTTAAGCCACTCAGTGTACGGCAATTTATTATAACAACCTGAATAGACTAAGACAAGCCTCCAGAGGAAACACAGCCCTGCCAACCCATTTCAGACTTCTGAACTTCCAGAACAACTGTGTTATTCAAGCCAGTAAATTTGTGGTAATTTATTACACAGCAATAAGAAACTAATACAGGCTCTATAGTCAATGTAGTTTCTTTCTTCCCTATCATAAATGTTCTATGCATTTGGCCTACAGTAAAAGTTCCTGATAATGATGGAGGTAAAAATGGCCTCTGGAAGTTTGGGTATGGGAGAAAATATAAAAGGCAGTACACTAAGCAATTATTCTTGTGGACTCTAGATATCTATGAGTCTTAGTAAAGTCCAAAACCCAGTATGTGCCAATAGCTTTAGGTCTTCCTTTGCAAATTTTAAAAACTCAAATGATGCCAAAGTAAACTATTCCCTAGGCTGACTTAAGACAATACAAATTCATTAGTGGGTCTGGAGGGAAAGAGTGGTATCAGAGATCTCACAGTCAGTCTGAGAATGATGTGGTGTTACCAAATCATACTAAACACAGACTAGGACCAAACAAGCTATAGGCAGTGTGTAAAAAGCAATTCACTCTAGACTTTATTTTATTTTGTTTTTAATTATCCATGTGGCCTAAATCCCACAAAAGAGAATGTTAAAACAAATTTCAAACCTGAGACTTGATTTTTCAGTTCATTTCTATCATCTATAGTTACCATCTTTAAAGCTTGGAACCTGTAATTCTTTCATTCATTCAACAAGCATTTATTGTGTACAATTCACAGCACATCATAATGAACAAAAATAAATATCACCCTTTCCCTAATGGCATTTATAAGTTAGAAGGGAAAGATTATTTCAAAAACAATTAATAAACAGCTTAACAAGTACCATAACATGGGAAGTAGAAGTTGATGTGAGGGGCATGGCGGGAAACCTAAGTTAGTGAGGGAAATAGAATATGAAAATGCTTGGAGACTAGAGATGGAAAAGAGCATAAAGAAAGAGTGTGAGAGTATGTAAGTGGCTGTGTATTAGAGGGGAAGTGTCAAAGGGAGGGATAAGGAGAGATAAGGCCTGATAGGTGAGTAAAAGCCAGCCATGAAGAGACTGCGCCCTGGTCTTAAATCCCAGTGGTACATATAGAGATAGCAAAACCAGTCATTGTGATGATTCTCAATCCTGGCTGCAAATCTAAGGTCGTCCAGTAGAGTGCTTCTCTTCTACTGTGGCCTGGCAAACACAGTTTATAAAATCTGTGAAAAGTGAGAGTAACTGAAAACTCTAAGAACTGAGACTAATAGTTTCATGCATATGCAATAATAATAGCTATTAATTTTTAAAATTTGACAATTTTATAAGTTACAAATATTAGAGTTCCTGTATACCCTTCACTCAGCTTCCTCTAATGTTATAATCTTATATAACCACACTACAATTATCTAAATGAAAAAGTTTACAGTGATACAATACTATTAACTAATCTTCAGAGTACATTTGATTTTTGCAAATTTTCCCATTAATTTTCTTTTCTTGACCAATAACTAATACAGAATCCCAAACTGCAGTTAGTTATCATGTCTTCTTAGTCTCTTCAAATCTGGAACAATTCCTCCATTTCTCCTTGTTTTTCATGAACTTTATATTTTTGGAGACTACTGACCATTTGTTTTGTGAAACATCCCTGAGATTTGAGCTTGTCTAATATTTTCTCTTTTTTTTTTTCCCTCTGGCTCTGTCACCCAGGCTGGAGTGCAATGACACGATTTCAGCTCACTGCAATCTCCACCTCCTGGGTTCAAGCGATTCTCCTGCCTCAGCCTCCCGAGTAGCTGAGATTACAGTCATGCACCACCACGCCCAGATAATTGTTGTATTTTTAGTAGATACAGGGTTTCACCAAGTTGGCCAAGCTGGTATCGAACTCCTGACCTCAGGTGATCCACTCACCTCAGCCTCCCGAAGTGCTAGGATTATAAGCATAAGCAACTGTGTCCGGCCAATATTTTCACTTAATTAAATGGAAGATTTGTATTTTTGGCAAGAAGACCATGGAAGTGCTCTTGTGCACTTCTCAGTGCATCACATCAGGTGGTATATGATGTCAAGAAGTCTTCTTACTGATGGTATTAAGTTGATCATTTGGTGAATATGATGTCTGCCACGTTTCTACATATTAACTATGAAGTTAATATGTTTCCTGCTTGTAATTAATAACTATCTTGTTGGGAGATACTTTGAAACAATGGAATTATCTTTTTTCTCATTATTCCATCGCCTTAAGTTTCAGTATTCACTGATTATTGCCTAAACTGTATTGTATTGTACAGTACTGTGGTGTCTGCCAAAAGATGATTTTTCTACATCTATTAATCTTTTTACTTTTAAAAATTGACATTCTACTGTAAAGAAGAGCTGTCTCTTACCTCCCATTTATAAATTATTGACTTCACGATAAACTAAAAAATATTTATTCTATGGGTTTTTAATCTATTACTGTCAATATTATAATGTTGCTCAAATTGTCACAGATTTAGCTATTTAAAGATCTTTGGGATTTATGTCCTTTTGACATGCTGCTACCCATTTTTGAGTACTTCCTTACCTTCTGGCACCACAAGATAATCTTATAGTTGCCCTTTCCTAGCTCTGAAATCAGCCATTTATCCAAAAAGATCTAGTTTTTTAAGTTAACAAATGGCATACAGAAACTAAGATTTGGGAACTAGGTTTGCATTTTATCATTGGTTGTCACTGCTTCTATGTCTTCTCAGGAGACAGGGCTAGGTGATATAAGTATGTATGCTAATTGTGCATACTAACACATGTATATGTAATTGTTTATATCATCTTTCTATGTGTGTACACATAACAATAAATTCACATTGATATTTCATTCCAATCAATCACCACAGGATTCATTCTAGAGTTTCCTCTCCTTATTTGTAACTCCTTTCTCCAAAAGAAAGAAATCTTGCTTTTACTATCCAAAATATATTTACTTATTTGCTCTAATCCTAGGATACATATAAAGGAATTTTAGATTCATTATCTTTCTCCCCCACAATTATTGGAGCAATTATGCTGTTCATTTGTAATGCTGTTAGATTTTCACTTTGTCCCACAACATAGCTGATGTGTGTGTGTGTGTGTGTGTGTGTGTGTGTGTGTGTGTGTGAGAGAGAGAGAGAGAGAGAGACAGAGAGAGAGATTAGGTTCTAAGAGTCCAAAGCATACAAAAGGTATAGTCAGAGAACTGTCACTCCCCTTTCATTGCTTGTACTCTGTTCCCATTCCCCAGTCCTTTCCAGCACATTCTCACCTACCTGCTGCAGATAATCAATATTATTAGTCTATGATTCAACCCTTCCTGTATCTCTTTTTGTACAAATCAACAGCTAACAGTTATTAAGCATTTACATGGTATATGTCAGACACTGTTCTATATGCCTTTCTACATATTAGCTCCTTCACCTTTCACAAGCACCTAAGCTTCAAGAGTGTAGATGCTCTGAAACATCGTTTTCATCTAGGAATCTTTTCCTTTTCGTAGGTGTTCTTGATTGCCTCAGATATACCCAAGAGATATTCATTATAGAATTAGAGAACTAAATAGTACATTGCCAAGTACTAGATTTTGTTCTGATGATAATGATTTAACATGTGATAACAATTTTTATTTCCTCAGGTAGTTAATTCATTACAAATCAGTCACTAAGTACCCATAAAAGTACATACAATTTCTCATTTGTCACATTTATTCTCACAATAGCACAAGGAGACCTGCATGTAGGACAAATAGCATCCTTACTTTACATGAGAAAACTGAAGAACCTATAAACATAAAAAGGACTTCTGTGCTCCCACTAAAACCCTGGTAAGTAAGTTCATAGAAGGCTTGAGTCTTCAGGAAGAAGAGAGAGACAGAGACAAGGGCAGCCAGCAAGAAAGGGAGGAGAGTGAATCAACACAGGGAAAGCAAGGTCTGAAATGAATGCCTGAGTACAGACAACTGACAATAGACAACTATTGCAAATTGTTGATTAGCAAGGCAATATGAAGGAACTGTTTAAGGAAATTAGCAGTGTGTAAAATGCAGCAGAGGATAGAGACAACAAGGTGTAACATTTCTGGGAAATCTGAATGTATAATATAAAGCATTAAAGTACCTTTCTAACATCAATTTCTAGGAATGCTCATTTTGTTAGTCAAAAGCAATTACAGGAAAATCCAATCTTTGACTATTTAAACACAGTGATTTTTACCATTGACCATATTAGGATAAAATGGGGAGCTTCTTAAAAATACTAACTACCAAGCCATTTTCCAGACCAATTAAATCAGAATCCTGGGAAAGGTGTACAGGCGTCAGTACTTTTTTTAATAATCCCATGGTGATTCTAATAGACAGCTATAGTTCAGAACCAACACATCAGTAGTAAACATTGACAAGAAGATGCCCATATGTAATAAAGTTTCGATTTTTTCTTTTTTTTTTTTAGAAGATACTCTCTGTTGACAGTGAACATTCTGCTTTTGCAGAAGTATATACTTACTAAGGTACCATAAACTTCAGAAATGTAAAAGTAAAACTAAGAAAATGTACATCTACAATTTCCTAATGCATTTTTATAAATAATTGTAGAAAAGCAATTTTTCATATATCAATCCTTTAGTATTCTAAAGTTATTATAATTTATTTTTTTTAATTTTTTGATAATAAATACTCCGTATTAAAAATACCCTCTCTGGAAATTTTCCAAATTATCATCTGGATCAGAGATATAAGTAACAACATTCTAAACACACAATGCTATAGGACTGGTTTAGCATGATACCAGGGGAAGCAGAAAATAAAAGGAAATCTAAACTACACTCAAAGCAACAATCTGTTAAATTCTAAGCTACGTGAGGACAGTATCCAAGTCTGTCTATTCTACTGTTATATACTCAGTAATTTGCATAAAGCCTGGCACATAATAGGTGTCCAGTAATTCTTAGTTCCATAACAAATCTATTTTGAAAACTTATTTAGAAATGCATCAACGGAAGGAAGAATGAAAGGAAAGTAGTAAGGAGAAGGGAAGGAAAAGACCCTTGGAATGACGAACAAATGACTGACTGATTTAGTCAGTCATTCTCAAAATGGTGAAGTGGGAGTCAGGAGAGTAGGATTCTGAGTCTTGGCTTTGCCAGAAAACCAGTTGTATACTCTTAAGCAAATCATTTAAGTTCTCCACAATAACTTGCTCATCCATAAAACAAGGAGAGGCATAAATGACTTCTCTCATGACCTACAGTGTTGAAAATCTCTATATATCACTGTATCAGATATTTTGAAGGAAAGTATACATTAATCTAAGTATTATTTTTTAAGACAGAAAAAAATTGACAAGAATTTACTAAACCGAAAATTTTAAGTAAAAGAATTTCTAATTCGGCATATACAACCAAAATTTCTAATTACATATTTGGTGAAAAAAGATAAGTCATTGTATATCCAGCTATTTCATATTTAACTCCAAGTTTTAATTCTCAGTTATCCACAGATAGAGGAATAAAACATAAGGAAAACTCATAACAGGAATTCTCTCAGTATTTTCTCAGATGTATTTTTCCCAGCAAAAGTTAAAAACTAAAGGAAAAGTTGCAAGAACACTTAAAAAAATAAATCCTACATCTAAATTTCCCACCTTGCTTACATTTCAGTACATTTGCTTTATCATGCTACCTCTTAGTCTCTCTTGGCATATGTGTGATAGACATTATTTTTTTTCTGAATCAAATGAGAGTTAGTTACAAATATCATGACACTTCAACCTTTATCTATATTTATTGACTAAGAACAAAGATGTTTTCTTATATAATCACAACACAATTATTACACTTCATAAACTTAGTATTAACAATTCATGTGGTTGGTTTTTAATCCGGGTCCAATCATGTATCACTTTCATACTAATATTTGAATAATATTGTGTTATTTACTAAAAATTAATTATACTTTTAAACAAGATAATTCAATACAAGACAATGAGAGTTATAGGGAGGCTGGACAATGCCAGAAAGAGTCATATATTATGATTTAAGAGGTTAGGTTCCACTTCCCTTTTATTATAACAAGCTGCCATTGGAACCTATCTCCTTAATGGGCTGGGGAGTGATTTTCATATTGTGAGATGCCTTGAGCAGCAGTGAGTAAGAAACCCATGAGCTTTCGATGTCAGCTAGGATGGTTCCTTTTTATCCATTTTATATATTGGGGTTCTAACTAAGAACAGTATTTACAAAAAAAAGTAATTTTTGTGGTGTTTTGGTTTTGGGGTTTTTTTTTTGCATAAAAATGAATTTGAAAACAGGCTAAAGAAGTAAAGGTAAAAATCATTAGGTAAAAGAGTAGGGAAAGGAAAGAGAAATCAAATTCTCAACAGAATAAGAATGATCCTGACCCAAGTATTTCAGAATACAAAAAGTCAAACAGTCACAGCCTTTTATTGTTCACCACAGTTGAAGTAGCAAACAGTAAAGTCTAAAAAAAAAAAAGCTTTATTACTTGAAAAACCAAGAATGCTTCTGAACCTTCATTTATTCCACTGCAAAACAGAAATAATAATATACACTTCACAGGGTTGTTGTGAGGATTTAATGAAATAATGTTTGTAAAGGGCTCAGTAAATCCCTGGCAAATTGTAAACACTCAAAAATAAAAATTAAAAAACATCCTAATACTGTTGGGTGAAGTGGCTCATGCCTGTAATTCCCAGCACTTTGGCAGGCTGAGGCAGGAGGATCACTTGAGGCCAGCAGTTTAAGACCAGCCTGGGCAACACAGTAAGACCCCATCTCGACAAAAAAACTTAATTAGTCGGGCATGGTGTCATGTGCCTGTGGTCCCAGCTACTTGGGAGGCTGAAGGAGGAGGGCTGCTTGAGCCCTGGAGGTCAGGGCTTCAGTGAGCCATGTTTATGCCACTGCACTCCATCCTGGGCAAAAGAGCAAGACCCAGTCTCAAAACGAAAAAACCACAAGAACAAAAACCAAACTAATACCAACTACTAATATTAAGAAGTTGACTGGGTGTAATGGCTCACGCCTATAATCCTAGCACTTTGGAAGCCAAGGTAGGTAGATTGCTTGAGCCCAGGGGTTCAAGACCAGCCTGGGCAACATAGTGAGACTTTGTTGCCCAGAAAGAAAAAAAAAATAGCCAGATGTGGCATGAGCCTCAGGGAGGCTGAGTTAAAAGGACTGCTTCAGCCCAGGAGGTTGATGCTACAGTGAGCTGTGATCTGCACTCCAGTCTGGGTGGCAGAGCAAGACCCTAGCTCAAAACAAAAAAACAAAAAAACAAAACAGAAGTTGCATGATAGTTATGAGTACAGGCTCTAGAGTCAGAATGCCTGGGTTCAAATGTTAACTACTCAATATACTAGCCTTTGGATCTTGGTCAAGTAACAAACTTTTAAAGCTCTAGTTTCTTCATTTGTAAACTTGGGACAATTAATACTACCTATCTCATTGCTCTGTTTTTAAGATACGATGAGATAATCCTTATAAAAATACTTGGCACAGGGCTGGGCGCGGTGGCTCATGCCTGTAATCTCAGCACTTTGAGAGGCCGAGACAGGTGGATCATGAGGTCAGGAGTTCGAGACCAGCCTGGCGAACATGGTGAAACCCCGTCTCTACTACAAATACAAAAAATCAGCCAGGTGTGGTGGCACGTGCCTGTAGTCCCAGCTACTCATGAGGCTGAGGCAGGAGAACTGCCTGAACCCGGGAAGTGGAGCTTGCAGTGAGCTGAGATCCCACCACTGCACTCCAACCTGGGCGACAAAGCGAGGCTCCGTCTCAAAAAATAAATAAATTAATTAAATAATTAATTAAATAAAAATACTTGGCACAGTGTCTGGCTCAAAATTAATTGCTCAGTAAGTATCACCTATTATTCACATCACTATTATTATAATTATTTAAAATACTAGCATATCTAGCCTAGATATTAACATATAAAGCTCTAAATTTTATTTTCTAATTCTTGAATAAACTTTTAGAATCACACAATCTTAGAGGTGAAGAGGACCTTACTATCCAATGAACTTATTTTAATAGTAAGATTGCCCATATATTTGCAGTAAGTTATTTGTGTTAACATCTCCCCTCTTTAAACCTCAAGCTCTATGCAAACAGACTATTACTTTCTTCTCACTTGCAATTTGTCTATAATGAATGTATATGAAAATTATGATCTTATTTTTTTTTAGCTTATTCATTGTCACATAACCAGTTAATGACAACGGCTGAGAATACAAAGGCATCAAACTGCACAGTGCTCTTTCCATAAAATCACACTAATCTTGTATTAGAGAAAGACAACATTTTAAAAAAGCCCTTTTATAACCTCCAAATATATCCTTGTTTATGACCATTTACAGTGAAAAATTATAATCATTGCTTTTTAAGCTATTTATTTATAGTTTTTCACTTTTCTATTTCCCCTATTAGAGAAAAAGTTACATGAAGGCAAGCGATATATTTGTCTTATTCATATTGATTTCTACAGTGCCAAAATGTGCATAGTAAGTGGTATACAGCCAGTACTAAATAAATACGAAAAGAAGAATTGTTCCAATAGGCAGGAGAAACAAAATTTGAAACGTCAAATATCAGCTATTATAACAGCCTACAGGGTCCTGAAGTAGAAGCAGCCCTGTCAACAAACTTCAAGGCTGGGCTAAATTATTGCTGTGGTTCTCAAGTGATTCTCATATTGGGATTTTTTTTTTAAGACTGTTTGGTTTCACTCTAGACCCATATAAAACCATAATATTTTCTCAAATTCCTTAAATAATTTTATTTGCTCCCAACCCTTTGGAATACTTCTGAAAATTTCTGGTTATAGCAAAAATTACTACAGAGACTTAAAAGTTCAAGCACCCCCAAACTACAACTTCTAGTTATCTGCTGAATCTCAAAATTTTCTCATCTACTCAGAACTTAATTGTCAAAGAAAAGTGTTCTTTACAAACAGAAACCAAAATTCCCAAGTCTGTATTATCTATAGTACATCTCTTTTCAGACATACTCTACTTCTATTACACTCCTCTTAATCTCTGAATCAATCTTATCCTTCATAGTTTACAACTAGTTATGATAAAATATTTTGAATTTTATTTTTCAAAATTTATTACTGCTTTGGTTGAAACAAATATTTCTCAGTTCATACAGCATAATGAAAATTTTAAGACTAATAGTTTACCTGACCCCCCAACCCCCAAAAATGATTTCTTTATGACATACTGTAGGTTCAGTACTATGCTAAGAACTACAGAAATAACATAAGGCTAAAATCTTATAATCTACACACAAAACAAAGAAATAGAACTTACTGTCAAGTACTAAATTCTGCAATATAAATTGATTATAAATGCCACAGAAGATAGGAGGAAAGAATATCAAGAAAAACTGGAGACTTGAAGAAAAACTGCATAATGAGACTTGCAGGATATTCCAAAAATGCTACAAATTTTTTAATGTTTCAATGAGCATATGTGCAACAACTTGAATTTATTTTTCAATTTGTTTTTATTTACTTTTGTAATATATTGACTAATGCTGACACTTGGATGCCATAAGTTTATTTTATTCCTTATGTCTTTGAAATTATACAAAAATATTTTACTCAGAATTATAAAAAGCACATATTCAATTTTGAATATGGCAAAACATGTTACTTGCCAATGAAATTATGTGGTTTTTTGCTTTATATTCATTCTTTGAAAATGTAGTTAACCTGGCATGGTGGTTCCCATTTGTAGTCCTAGCTACTCAGGAGAGGCTGAAGTGGGAGGATTACTTGAGCCCAGGAGTTCAAAGTTGCAGTAAGCTATAATCACGCCACTGCATCCAGCCTAGGTAACACGACAAGATCCCATGTCTTAAAAAAAAAAAGAAAAAGAAAAAGAAAAAAGAAAAGAGAAAAGTGTATAGTTCTCTGATTCCCATATGTTCAGTATCAGGCCTGTAATTAGTACATCACAAATATACAAAAGATAATATTCATACATTTTTCTAGCCATTAAAAGTAGAAATAGGCCAGGCATGGCGGCTCACACCCATAATCCTAGCACTTTGGGAGGCCGAGGTGGGCAGATAATTTGAGGTCAGGAGTTCGAGACCAGCCTGGCCAACATGGTGAAGCCCCATCTCTACTAAAAATACAAAAAAATCAGCTTAGCATGGGGCACACACCTGTAATCCCAGCTACTTCAAAGGCTGAGACAGGATAACTGCTTGAACCCAGGATGGGGAGGTTGCAGTGAGCTGAGATCCTGCCACTGCACTCCGGCCTGGGTGACAGAGTGAGACTCTGTCTCCAAGAAAAAAAAAAAAAAAGAAAGAAAAGTACAAATAAGGTTTGACTAATAATAAAAATTCAAATCTAGTGCCATAAGTATGTATAATTATATGACACAACTATACTGTGACCATATAATACATACTACACAAGAAAAAAATGGCTCCTCAGTATCAGTACTGCAATATGCCTCTGTGGTAGAGACAGATCCCAGAAATATCAACTTACTAGAAAAATGAGCATATAGGTGAGTCTCATTATGTATCTGGCCACAGGCATTTAAAGTACATAGTGTTTAAAACTAAACACTAAGTCATGCAAAGACTTTCAAAAATATACCTGTTTTCTTTAACTAACATCTCCATTGATTCTTCCATTTGTTTTGTTAGCTATTGATTTTTTCCCTCTCCTTCTTATGAAAGGGGAACAAGGAGGGGATACATGGGGAAAATGTTACCTTTATTAAGCCATCTTACAATGTTATTGTCAGGAATGGCTATAAAGAATTTCTAGCATCGTCAAAGTCCCAGAGAGAGCAATGAGTGGTGCCTGCACTGATGTCAAGTACTAGCTCCTAGGCATGGCTTAGGAATAAAAATAAACGCATTAGAAAGAATAAGAATGGGTGTATATTGCACTTATGAGTACCCATTTGCTTGATTATCCACATAGCGTAACGGAATCAAATGCCTAAGATGAACTCTTAGTAAGTAAGGTATATTAGCATTTTAGTATACTAATTTCACTACAAATTCATTGATATTACTTATTTAGTAAAAAAAAAATTAGAGGTAAAGGATTTTTTTAAAGATAGGACATGATATACTTCTTTTGGAAAAGAAAATACGTCAAGATGAGTTCAATATTGAATTTCACCAATGAGTATATATTAAAACATCAGAAATTATTTTCAAAACAATCTTTCCTTAGGCTTAAAAGGAGAACCTGATTTAAAATCAACACCACCCTAGCCATAGCTTTTAACGGGTCAAGTACATTAGCTACTCCTTTCTGCAAACAATGGTACATAAAAACAAAGTGGGATATTTCCTACAAAGAAGATTAAAAATTCTTTAGGCCTGCCTTTCCTTGGACTCTGGATTTTAAAATGACATACTACAAGATAAAATAGTAATGCTAATATTGATAGTTTGTCCATTACAGGTCAGCTAACTGTCCACTGGAACAGTTACAAAGCTGTTAGTTTCGATTTCACAAGGCCAATCAATACAGAGGCATACTGTTTCAATTTTGTCTGCATTGATTTTTTTTTATAACACTCCAACCTTACAGCATTCATCTTTCTGAAAGAAGGAAGATTTGATTTACTGAAGAAAAATTGGAGAGAGCATCACAAAGATTTTACCGGCAAGCCTGTGACACAGAAAAAAGATGAATGTCTTTCAGGAAGAGACGCCTCTAGCTTGAGGGCATCCATTAGAACACACTCAAGCAATCTGAAAAGGAGTTTCTTAAAGCAGCAGAAATCTAAACCTAAACAGTCTCCTAAACTAATCAAAAGCATTCAAGAATTTTGATATGAGGTTCCGTTAAAAATTCCTAAACCTTATTACTTCTAAAATAATTTATGTCTCTAGCTCTACCTATGCATTTTTTAGAGATGAGAACCACCTCTTTCCCAGACTAATACCAAGAGTGAATTTCCATGGTACATTAGTCAGCCTATTAGAATGCAATGAAGGACGATATGAGAAAAGGGTAGTATGTCCTCTGAGACTTCCATCCAGTATTCTCCATCATCTCTCCTCATCCTTCTTACATTCAGCCACTTTACCAGGTGTCATCTACATGAAAGATGATTTGTCTCCTGACCCAAATAAACACAATGCCTGCTCCATGCACCGGAAAAAAATTACTTCTGCCACTCTGTTCATTTGTGGCTTCTTTCTTGCTTATTCCACTATTCTTATCAAGCTCTCTCAGTTTTCACCTGAGCCTCACTCCAGGTGACAGTAATGTATGGATGAACAGGTACTTGTCTGTCCCATTATTTCCTGAAATCTCTAAGCATTTGAAAAAATGCAATGACAGTAAAGGGCACAGTTATCAGAGCTCCAAGGGAGGAATACTTTCCTTTACTTACCAATGCAATAGTCTAGGCATCAAAGAAAAAAGAGAGAGAGAGAAAGAACTCTCATGGCAAAAGCTGGTGTAAGCGAGATATTAAGACACAAATTGCATTCAGGCAGGTCACTAGGTGTCAAAAGATATTAGATGCCTGCTGTGAGGAAACAACAATTCCCATCTGCCTCTGAGAAAATAATATTTTCATTTTCAGTTTTTATTGAATGGAAACTTTTGGGAATATGTCTTTATAAAGGGTATTAAGTCTACCAACTATAACATGTTCAAAATGGCTATAATCATCATTGTGTTATCCATAAAGCAGCAGATTTCATTTGGTCTCTTTAGATGGGATAAATTGGATTCTTTTTTCCCCGGCTTGCAGTTTTGTCGCAGGACCAGATGTTTCTCAAATGCCACATGCTGAGGCTCCTATACTGAATGTAGCACCTGACCTTCTCTATAATTGACTAAAAATATTGATGTAATGGCATGGGTCTGATTGTGATTTATTAAAACCACTGCCGATCCCAGGCCAGCTGCCAGCATTGCAGCCCACTGATCGTGTGGCATTAGAAAAGCCATCAATAGTGAAACAAAATAAATGACATTAATGGGAAAGTATCAGGCCTACATAACCATGGCTACAAGCAAATTACGTGGATTCCAAAGGAGGGTCAAAATAAAAAAAATGCCACAAATGAAATTTCTAAATATTCTAATATGATTGAGTTAAAAGACAAAATGCTACTATAATTCTTTAGATAAAATGCAAAGAAATTATACTTAATTTAATCCTCTTCACTAGAATTTTGCTCATTGTGCATATTTCTTTTAGCAGGCTTAGCATAGTTAAATGCATTACAGCTACAGTATGACTCTGATTTCTCTCTAATGCCATTTATGTTTTCTAGAATTATGCTAAGTGAAGAACAAAGTACACTGTGTTATTCCCATTTATTACAACCATGTCCATAATTTACAAGCTGATTATGCAAGCCTCATACAAGGGAAATCAGAGAATAGTTAACCACTGTCAAAGTATGGTGAGCCAGCATACATTTTTGTCAGCTACATTTTCTTACATGGACCTTAAAAGGAACATTAAGATCCACACTTCACATTATTGGGAATTAATATTGAAAAGGACTATTTAAAGATAATTTTTAAAAATGCATTAGGGAGAAACCAGGTATTCTAAATAAGTAACAGTTGAATATGATACAGAACTAAATATAATGACAAAGAAATATGAACATACAGGCAATGTGCTTTGTTACATATTGTTTTTTAATGTAAGATGAGATTTATAGAGAGGAAAATATTAATTTAATCATGTCCATTTTGTGATGGTACATCCTTTCTTGTTGTTCTGAATTTAAAATGTACACATTAGAAAGCTAATAATTTGACAGCTATTTTCATTTGAGAGGAAAAAGTAAGAGATATTTTGTTCTGTGGACTTGCAGAAATATTAAAATTTCAAAATTTATTTCAGTTGTTTCTGGCTTAATGAATAATAGAGTTGATACCTTAGAACAACTCTATTACTGAAACACTAATTATTTCTAGATAAATACATTTCATGGTCCATTTAGCTCTCCAAGATATTTTATTACACCAAAATCACTTCAGGAAAACTATGTTTTCCTTTTGATACCACATGTATATACTATGCTATACAAAGGTACAGCTATCAACAGAAAGAATTTTGATCCCATCAAAATAACCCATGAAACGCTTGACATAAGTTATCTAAATGTGTTTATTTTAAAACTGCAAAACCTTTTGGGTGAAAAGAATAACTTTTTAAAAAGATTCAACAAATGCACATTGGGTTCCTACTGTGTGTCAGGCACTATGCATCAGAGTAATATCCTAATTCATTCAGTATCTGATGTCAAAATGATATCAAATCTGTAATAATAAAGCACTTTGAAACTCTAAAACCCTCAATACAACACTCCTCCATTCTCCTCGCCATGGGCTTTTAGATGTTGCAAGATAAGGCACCAGAGATCACTGACCCATGAATAGATGTTATTTCCATAACCACTCTTGCACCTGCAGATCAACTGAAATAACATTAAAACAAACAAACAAACATGGTTCCTGTTGGCTGTCCTTTTGATCTCAAGACCTTGACTTGCCTTTCTTTCTCTGAATATCAAAAATTAGGTACCCAGAAATATAATTCATTATATGCAAATATTCTTTGTAATAAATATCACACGCTACATTTATTCTATATTAGTGAATACTTTATACAAATAGCTTTCAATGCAAATTTTTGAAGTTTACTTTTCTAAAAGTTAAAATTTTTTTCTTTATACTGGAAAATTTCTAACACTGGATTTTGATGTCTGATAGACACATAAGTTGATTAAAACACAAATGGAAGCAAATTACACTCTTATATAATATACAAGTAATTTACTATTTTTGTTTTTGTTGTCTTCTAGAAAAAGTTGGTCAAAAATTAGAAATTAAAATATAATGTTTTCTAATAGCAAAATAAAAACTTTCTGTCATTAACTTTACTTAAAAGAGTCAACACATGTTCCTGAAATTTGTAGCATAAAATATTTCATGGAGGATATATAATTTGTCCAAGTTCCTTAGTCTTAAAGGCAATTTAATTAATTTCTATAAAGTAAAATCAACAACAGCATGTCCAGTTTGGCTATCTTAAAAGAAGGTAGATATATTGAGTAAAACTTTAAAGAAGGCATTTAACCAAGTTTATCATCACAGTCCTGAAATTTGCAACATAAGAAAAAAAATCATTTTATTGTATTTTCAAAATTATACTTTGAAAATATGGTTACTTTCAAATAACTAAAAAATATAAAAAGAGCATAGTTTTTTAAAATAAAATGTTATATACGTAAAAATTTGGCTATAAGTGTAGATAGTAAGATAGTTTAACTGCTTCCCTTAAGAATTCATTTCAAAAGGAGTAAGTAGATAAAGCAAATATGATTTTGGAAGTAGTTGAGGAAACTGATCTACAAAGATCCATAATTGTACACATACTGATTGGATAAATATGGATCTATAAAGATCCATAATTGTACCCATACTGATTTTCTCCTTCCCTTTGGCTTTAAATTCATAGAGATGATGAAAGACAAAATTAAATTACTCTCTTCTTCATCTGGCTTTGATCATATCCAAAGTCATTTATCTAAACCTAAGCCATCTACAGAAAATCAGTGGCCAAATCCTAAAGGTATCCCTTTACCTCACTGCAGAATTTCCCCAGGCTCCATGCTTGTCTGTGAGAATGTTGATAATTTTCTGGATTAGTTGAGTTGCTGTCACGTGGTCACGATATTTTGCTGCTCTTATCAAATGATCACACATCTTCTCATCTTCTCGTTTGTCTGCAGAATACTGGGCACACAGTGACTTGGAGAGAAAAAAAAATAATACTATAAAAAATGTGAAAAAAACCTTTAAAATCCATTATGAAATAATCTTTACCCTAAATCAAAACAACCAAAATTTTAAATCTACTTTTACATTCCTCATTCACCTAACTGAGATTTAGTGATCTGCTGTCTCAATAAAACATCCCACAAGAATTTACTTCTGTGAAGTCAATCATGAGATACACTCAGAAGTGGTAAACATTCAAGTAGAGACCTGAACAATGAGACAAAGACAGTCTTGTAAGAAGCAGGGGCCCAGCACGACAAACAGCATGAAGTGAAGTTGCAAAGGACTTGAGACATAGTGAATAAGGAGAATAATGGTTAAGAAATAATTTTCAAAAGGCAGGCCAGGGCTACATCATTTGTATTATGGTAAGGAGTTTAGATTTTATTCAAATGTAATGGAATCCCAGAGGAAAGTTTTACGCAGTGAAGTGATAAATTTACATATTAAAATGATCATATAGCTGCTATTTAGAGAATGGATTGTAGTGGGACAAGAGAAGTGAAGTTGGCAGTTATGAGGCCACTGCACAGGGCCAGAAAAGAGACAATAGCAGCTTACAATAGTAAATTGAGCTAGTTCTAAATACCTTTAGAACATGAAACTGTTTGGTCTTTTAAGTCCTAGCAAAATGTACCAAGAGCTCTGGGATTGCCTGGGATCTTATTTCAAATGCAGAGTCTCAGGCCCCACCCCAAATCTATTCATTTTGTGTTTGAATTTTAATTCCCAGGCAATTTATATACATCAAAGTCTGAAAAGTACTGTCTTAGATATCATCAATTTTACCAAAAAACACCTTAGAATTATTTGTCAGTAATCAGATACACTATAATTGCTAGTCTCCAAAATGCTTATTTCTCTTCTTTTGGAATTCGGATACTTGTGGTGTCATGTTTATGATACTGTAGTTAAGGCATTGTTTAAAATAAGAAAACAAAGATGGATGTAGACTTGGTCCTTTGTTCTATTCAGTGTCTACTGGAGTCCTCTCCCCCACCCCCACACACATATCCTTTGATAGATAAGTAACATAAACTTGATGTTGGGATAAATATTTCTAGTTTACATACGGAATATGCATTGTGGATGCTTGCCTCTCCTACAGTATACCAGTTTCGATAGATTGCTGCCACGCACTACTCCCACCACCACCCCAGCAACAAATAGGAGTCCTGATTGTCCTGAACCAATCGTAATAATCACACCCACACTGGCAAACTGGATTAGGGAAGGACACTTGATGTAACTGGTACAGGTAGGGCAAAGTTCAAGATTTAGTTGGACAGTTGGTTCCCTCCTTCCTCTCAAGGTGTAAAAGAAGCAGCAAATTCTAGGAGTATTGGAAGCTCTCTGTACCATGAGGGAAGCTGGCCTGAAGATATGGCCAAAATGAGAGCAGAACTATGAAAATTGTAGAAAAACAGAGCTCACTCCAGAATCATGAACTTCCAGATCAATCAAATTCTCAAGACCAGCCAACCCCTATGAGACTTTTTAAAGATTTTTTTTTAAGAGCCAATAAACTCCTGCTCATTGTAAACCAGTAAAAACATCCAAAAAAATTGGTTTTTTTTGTTCCTTACACCAAAAGCAATTCATCCTTTGCATGGTGTATATGTACATGCATAAGGAATCAAATATATATATATATATATATATATATATATATATTTTTTTTTTTTTTTTTTTTTTTTTTTTTTGAGACAGTCTTGCTCTGTCGCCCAGGCTGGAGTGCAGTGGCGTGATCTTCTTGGCTCACTGCAACCTCCGCCTCCTGGGTTCAAGCAATTCTCCTGCCTCGACCTCCCGAGTAGCTGGGACTACAGGTGCACGCCACCACACCCAGCTAATTTTTTTGTATTTTAGTAGAGATGGGGTTTCACTGTGTTGCCCAGGCTGGTCTTGAATTCCTGAGCTCTGGCAATCCACCTGCCTCGGCCTCCAAAAGTGCTGCGATTACAGGCGTGAGCCACCGCGCCTGGCCAAGAATCAAATATCTTAGTCTGTGCAAAACACTATGCTAGGGAGATGAAAAGCTGAATTGTATAAAGAGGAATTTTAGAAGTTAGTCTTGGGTGGGAATAAAGGAAACCTTTAAAGCAAAGGCAAGGCAGAAAAACGTTAATCAATTTCAGGGAGGGACAAAGCAAGAGAGTTTGACCCAAGTACAAAATACAGGTAGAACGAGTAATAGTCTGAAGAAACTCTGGAATGCAGAATGAGTATAGAAAAAAGTCACAGGAATCATAGTATACTTATATGAATGACTACAAGATTGGGAAGCAAAATAAAAACCAGGTTACGGTATCACCCTTGCTAATATCTCCTGTCAGTCTTGATCAATTCACTCATTTACCTCTTTAGGTCTAAATGTCCTCATCTGCAAAATTAGCAGGTTATATTAGATCTAAGATTGGGTCAATCCGAAGATTCTGGGCAACCTCTGTGAGGGTACTTGAGAGTACCTGAGTTCAACCTCTGAGAGATGTTCACTGGTAAAGGCAAACTGTTTATTTAATCTAAACACTGATGTGGAGAAAATAAATCCTACTAAGAACTAGAATAACTCATGAGAAATTAAAAGCAAATTTCATACGCTATATTTTTAAAAAAGATTGACCCAAACCACAGAAGAGTTCACTTTGTCAAAAATATGATTTGAGCAAATAAAAGAAAATGATTAAGAAATGTATGAAAGGGCAGCAGTTTAAGTGAAGATAACTAGGAAATTATTTCATTGTAACAAAAATGTCAACTGATATGTCATTTTTTATATATTCATTCAAGAACTGAGAAGCATTCTATAGGTTATTTCATATCTAACCCAACCATACACTAAAACAAATAGTACGAAATGACAGACATTCACAGAACTGTAAACTTTCAACATTCTCTACTATATCCATATCTGTCCTTGTCTAACTTCACCTAAGAGGAAATTCAAATCTACTGATGAGATTTAGAAAATCACCGGTTTCTGAAATGCTATGAACCACCACATACCTTCATATTAAACAGCATTAAAAGTAACCAAAAACACATTATTAAATAGCTTGTCATTTCTATCTCTTATTAATATATTAATTTAAAATCAAATTATATTTTGTAAACATTTGATAAGCTATTAAAGTTTGTTCTAAAAGGCATAATTCTAAAAACAAGGGCTCAAGGTAAGCTAAACGGTAAAATGGTTTAAAGTGTTCTTTAATGGATCCTTCTTTACAATTTGAACAGCAACTTTTCATATCTGACATAAAATCTATAGATATAAATCACATTAAAGGGCTATTCTTTCCTGATTATCAATCTCTGTCTCTTTGTGGAACCTTAGGGTCACATCTGACCTAAAAACATGATAAAAGAAAACCAAACAAGAATGTTTCATAAAGATATAATGAACTTGTAATATTTTTTAAATGTCCTTATAATGTAATTTGAAGATGTTCTTATTTAAAAACCAATAATAAATCCTATGTATGAAATATTGTTCAAAGTCATGTGGAGATAAGAAATATTTACTCTAGAATCAAATACATATTATTTATTTGTAGTATACATATTTGTGTATGTATGTATACCTGTATTTGGAGGTTGAGTGGAGGTACAAGAGACCTTAACAAATATTGCTATTTATCGGTAACATAAACGGTCAAATCTAAAACTTTCATTCAACTTTAAGGCAGAATTTTTTATGTTTTATATCAACTTTTCTGTGTTCCTATTTGTAAGCACTATATAAACTAGATAATATAACATCACAACATGGCCACAAAATATTTGACTATAAAAAGAAAAAAATAAGCATTTGGGGAACAATTCTATTTTATGTGATTATTGCTAAAGAAACCTAAGATTTATAACCAAAGAATGAAGAAACTCAATATAGGATAAATAAACCTCCACAGAAGAAATTCAGTCACTCACAGTAAATAGACAAAGCGACCATTTTAGCTCTTTAAATGTAAATGAATAGAGACAATATTTAATTTTTCCTTCCAGATGTCATAGCTCTACCTAATTTTACTATTCATCCTTTGCATGAAAGTAAGAGAGGACACAAACAAATGGAAAAACATTCCATGCTCATGGATAGGAAGAATCAATATCATGAAAATGGCCATACTATCCAAATTAATTTATAGATTCAACACTATCCCCACCAACCTACCAATGACTTTCTTCACAGAATTAGAAAAAACTACTTTAAATTTCATATGGAACCAAAAAAGAGCCCATATAGCCAAGACAATCCTAAGCAAAAAGAACAAAGCTGGAGGCATCACACTACCTGACTTCAAGCTATACTATAAGGCTACAGTAACCAAAACAGCATGGTACTGGTACCAAAACAGATATATAAAACAAATGGAACAGAACAGAGGCCTCAGAAATAACACCACACATCTACAACCATCTCATCTTTGACAAATCTGACAAAAACAAGAAATGGGGAAAGGATTCGCTATTTAATAAATGGTGTTGGGAAAACTGGCTAGCCATATGCAGAAAACTGAAACTGGACCCCTTCCTTACACCTTATACAAAAATCAATCCAAGATGGATTAAAGATTTAAACGTAAGACCTAAAACCATAAAAACCCTAGAAGAAAACCTAGGCAATGCCATTCAGGACATAGGCATGGGCAAAGACTTCATGACTAAAACACCAAAAGCAATGGCAACATAAGTCAAAATTGACAAATGGGATCTAATTAAACTAAAGAGCTCCTACACAGCAAAAGAAACTATCATCAGGGTAAACAGACAACCTACAGAATGAAAGAAAATTTTTCCAATCTATCCATCTGACAAAGGGCTAATTTCCAGAATCTACAAGGAACTTAAACTAATTTACAAGAAAGAAACAATCCCATCAAAAAGTGGGTGAAGGATATGAACAGACACTTTTCAAAAGAAGACATTTATGCGGCCAACAAACATATGAAAAAAAGCTCATCATCACTGGTCATTAGAGAAATCCAAATCAAAACCACAATGAGATACCATCTCATGCCAGTTAGAATGGCGATCATTAAAAAATCAGGAAACAACAGATGCTGGAAAGGATGTGGAGAAATAGGAACGCTTTTACACTGTTGGAGGGAGTATAAATTAGTTCAAGTATTCAAGTATTGTGGAAGACAGTGTGGCAATTTCTCAAGGATCTAGAACTAGAAATACCATTTGACCCAGCAATCCCATTACTGGGTATACACCCAAAGGATTATAAATCATTCTACTATAAAGACACATACACAGGTATGTTTACTGCGGCACTATACACAACAGCAAAGACTTGGAACCAACCCAAATGTCCATCAATGTTAGACTGGATAAAGAAAATGTGACACATATACTCCACGGAATACTGTGCAGCCATAAAAAAGAATGAGTTCATGTCCTTTTCAGGGACGTGGATGAAGCTGGAAACCATCATTCTCAGCAAACTAACACCAGAACAGAAAACCAAACACCGCATGTTCTCACTCATAAGTGGGAGCTGAACAATAAGAACATATGGGCACGGAGAGGGGAACATCATACACCGGGGCCTGTATGGGGATGGAGGGCAAGGGGAGGGATAGCATTAAGAGAAATACCTAATGCAGATGACAGGTTGATGGGTGCAGCAAACCACAATGGAACATGTATAACTATGTAACAAACCTGCACATTCTGCACATGTATCCCAGAACTTAAAGTATAATAAATAAATAAATAAATATTTTTAAAAAGTCCTAAAAGATTTAAAAAAAAAACAGAAATGGAAAATGTTAATAGATATATTCTCTATTAAAGAAATTGAACTCAACTACTTTACCATAAAGAAATCTCAGGCCCACATGTTTATATCGGTGAATTCCACCAAACATTTAAGAGGAAATAATACTGAGGCCGGGCAAGATGGCTCACATCTGTAATCTCAGCACTTAGGGAGGCTGTGACAGGAGGATCGCTTGAGCATAGGAGTTGAAGACCAGCATGGGCAACATGGTGAAACCCCATAGCTACAAAAATACAAAAATTAGCCCGGTGTGGTGGCATGCACCTTTAGTCCTAGCTACTTGGGAGGCTGAGGTGGGAGGATGGCTTGAGCCCTGGAGGCAGAGGCTGCAGCAAGCCGAGATTGTGCCACTGCACTCCAGCCTGGGTGACAGAGCCAAAAAGAAGAAGAAATAATAATGAAAAAAAAATTTACAACAGCATGAAAAATATGAAATACTTAGCTATATTTTAAAATTTATACAGATCTTATAAAAAATAAAACCATAAAATAGTTAAGAGAAATTAAGAAGCTAGATAAATGAAGAAATATATAATTTATGTATACAAAATATACAGTTTATAGATTTAAAGATTCAACATTTTAAAAATTGATTTTATATATTCAACACAATCTTAATAAAAATTTTTAGCAATTTTTATAAAACTGAAAAGCTGATTCTAAAACACATATAAAAACAGAAGGTAGGCCGGGCGCTGTGGCTCATGCCTCTAATCCCAGCACTTTGGGAGGCCGAGGCAGGTAGATCACAAGGTCAGGAGATCGAGACCACCCTAGAAAACAAGGTGAAACCCCATCTCTACTAAAATACAAAAAAAGTAGTTTGGCATGGTGGCACACGCCTGTAATCCCAGGTACTCAGGAGGCTGAGGCAGGAGAAACGTTTGAACCAGGGAGTTGGAGGTTGCAGTGAGCCGAGATCACGCCACTGCACTCCAGCCTGGCAATAGAGCAAGACTCCATCTCAAAAAAAAAAAAAAAAGGTAATAACAGCAAAGTAACTTTAGAAAACAAAGTTGTAAGACTTCACACCCTTCCCACCATATTATAAAACTAGAAATGAAGAGCACTGGTTATTAGATGAAGAAAGAGATGACAAAATGAAGAAACAACTGGTACTGAAACACCTGGCTATCCACATGAGAAAAAAAAAAAGACGAATCTTTTCTTTCACCTAATATCATACAAAAAATACTTAATTCAAACTGGATCAAGGATATAAATCTAGAAGTTAAAACTATAACATTTCCAAAACACAACAGCAGATTTTTTTTATAACTTTGGGATAGGCAATGTTGTTAGACTGGACAGCATAACAGAAAGCATAGAAGAAAATCACAAGAATTTAAAAACTGACAAAATAAACTTTATCAAAATTTAAAACACCTGGTCTTTTTTTTTTTTTTTTTTTTTAGACAGAGTCTCGCTCTGTCGCCCAGGCTGGAGTGCAGTGGCTCAATCTCAGCTCACTGTAAGCTCCGCCTCCCAGGTTCACGCCATTCTCCTGCCTCAGCCTCCCGAGTAGCTAGGACCACAGGCGCCTGCCACCATGCCCAGCTAATTTTTTGTATTTTTTAGTAGAGGCGGGGTTTCACCATGTTAGCCAGGATGGTCTCAATCTCTTGACCTCATGATCTGCCCGCCTTGGCCTCCCAAAGTGCTGGGATTACAGGCTTGAGCCACCATGCCTGGCCCAACACCTGCTCTTTAAAAGAACCATTTATAAAATAAAAGGTAAGCCACAAATTGTGAAAAAAAATTTAACATACATCTAAATGACAAATGAATTCTTTACAGAATATATAAAGAATTCATACAATTCAATAAGACAAACAACCTAATTAAAAATAATTAGCACAGGATTTGAACAGGCATTTCACAAAAGATATACAAATGGCTAATAAAGCACATGAGAAGATGCTTAGTCAGTAGAGAAATACAAATAAAAATCACAATAAGCTATCACTATACACCCACTAGACCGGCTGAAATTTAAAAGAGCTACAATACCAAGCACTGACAAGGACATGGAACAACTGGAACTCTCATACCTACCTTGGTGGTTGAATTGTAAAGTCGTCAACTACTTTGGAAAATAGTTTGTCAATTTCTTGTAAGCTTAAACATATACTTACAGTAGCATGTAGCAATCCTACTCCTAGGTATTTCCTCAAAAGGAATAAGAACATATTTCTACAAAAATAACTTGTATGAAAATGCCCATGGTGCATTTAGTCATAAAAGTCAGACACTGAAAACAACCCAATGTCTGCCTATAGCTGAATGGATAAACAAAATAATTCAACTTAGTATTTAAAAAAACAAACCAATAATACACACAACAATGTGAACGAATATCAAAAAGTTTATGCTGACCAAAATAATCCAGAGTACCTACTATTTGATTCCATGTATATAAAATTTTATAGCAGATAAAACTATCTATAATAACAGAAATCAGATCACTGGTTGTCTGGGATTGGATATGAGTATATGGAGAGGAATTGACCACAGTGGATCACAGGGGAATTCTCTAGGATGACAAAATTTCCTATATCTTTATTATAATGGTAAAATCACAGATATACACCTTTATCAAAACTCCTCAAATTGTATACTTAAAATTTTATTACATGCAAACTATACTTCAATAAAGTTTATTTAAGAAGTGTTTGTTTGTTTGTTTGTTTGTTTGTTTTTTCAGGCAGGATTTCACTCTATTGTCTAGGCTGGAGTGCAGTGGTGTGATCTTGGCTCACTGAAACCTCAATCTCTTGGGCTCAAGTGATCCTGCCACTTCAGTCCCCCAAGTAGCTGGGACTAGAGGCATGCACCACCATGCCCAACTAATTTTTTCGATTTATTGTAGAGATGAGGTCTCACTATGTTGCCCACGCTGGTCTCAAACTCCTGAGCGCAAGCAATCCACTCACCTCGGCCTCCCAAAGTGCTGGGATTACAGGCATGAGCCACCATGCCCAGCAAGAAGTTTTTAAAAAGTGGATGGACAAGGTATAGATGGAGGAAGCAGTTAAAATGCTCATACCAAAAAATAGGCTCATATAGCAAATAGGTAAATACCTTCTACAAATCAATGAGGAAGAGACAGATAACCAATAAGAAACTGGGTAAGAGAGCAACATGTACTTCACAAAAGTAAAAAATAGATAATATATAACAAGCAGGAGAATAGACTCAATTCTTTTAAAAATTCAAAATAAAAGTACATCAGAATGCCAAAATAAAAATCACCAGTCAACTGTTGATGAGAATGCTGAATAATAAAGAACAATTCTACACTGAGGCTGGGAGTGGTATATACTTTTGCAAGATAGTGTGACAATATCTATTAAAAGTGAAAATATGAACATTTTGTAATCAAGTAATTCCACCATACAGAAATGCACAAGGATGTACGCCAGACATATAAAATATTCAAAGTGCATTATTCATAATAGCTAAACACTGAAAACAACCAAACAAACAGAAGAGATTATTTAAAAACTAATGGTCTACATATTCGGAATAGCTAAAAATTGGAAATAATCCAATTACCTATCAACAGTAGAAAGAGGTAATGAACAGCTAGCAGTCTATACATAATGGAATACTATGTAGTAATGAAAGAGAAGTTGAAAAATGTAAGAAAATAATTAAATGTTGGAAACATAATGTTGAAATAAAATTTCCAGAATAAAATACATGTTTTATAATTCCATTTATATAAGGGTCAAAAATTGGGCAAGGGCCGGGCGCGGTGGCTCACGCCTGTAATCCCAGCACTTTGGGAGGCCGAGGTGGGCGGATCACGAGGTCAGGAGATCGAGACCATCCCGGCTAAAACGGTGAAACCCCGTCTCTACTAAAAATACAAAAAAATTAGCCGGGCGTAGTGGCGGGCGCCTGTAGTCCCAGCTACTTGGGAGGCTGAGGCAGGAGAATGGCGTGAACCCGGGAGGCGGAGCTTGCAGTGAGCCGAGATCCCGCCACTGCACTCCAGCCTGGGTGACAGAGCGAGACTCCGTCTCAAAAAAAAAAAAAAAAAAAAAAATTGGGCAAGAAATTACAGTGCTAAAAGAAACATACTTAAGTTTTGAAAGAATAAAACAAAAGCAAATGTCAACCATAAAATTCAGAACAGTGGTTACCTTAACAGGGCAGAAAGGGGTTGTGATTGGAAGGCTAGAAAACTTCTCACAAACTCTTCGTTTCAGTATCACAAAAAAATTAAATTAATGATGTTAAACATACATTGTTTCTAAAGTTAGGTTTTCAGAGTAATAAGTTTTTTAAGAAATAGGTTATAAAAAGCAAATTTTTATTAAGTTTGCAATTAAGTTCTTGTTAAGTTTTGAAATAAAAATAAACTACACACAATTTTAATGCTAAAATAGCAAGCCCTTTTCCTAAATTAATAATGTTTAATGCTAATTAAACAATTTGTTTTGGTCTCACAAGTTTTGTATTTAAAACCTCTTTTAAAGACTTTTAAAAGAAACATATACTTGCTTTTAAAAACAAATCAAAGAACGACATAAAAAAGAAAAAGAAATTTCTCTCTTCTACCTCCTCCCTGTTTGGTCAGCTGCTTTCTACAGAGGTAGTCACTGTTTAGAGTAAGATGTCATTCCTATATAATGGAATCAAACTGTACATCATTCCATGTCAGGACCTTCTTTCTTTTACATGGCTACAAACAGATGATTACATTTTTAGTTAACCAAGCATTGCTTCTGCTAAACACGTTTAAGTGTAGTACTTTCCTTCTCAATTTGTCTCAAAATCACTTACACTATAAATTACTTGTCTCACTGAAAACAATTTAAAAGTGAAATCACTTCAGGGACAATAAATGAAGAAGTTTCTCAGTATTTCACTTTTGGAGGTCTTTGTACTTGATCCCTTACCTTAAAGTGTGATCTTTAACAAAAAAAAAAAAAAGCTATCTACAGAAACTCAGAAAGACTCATAGAAAAGACAGAAAAATGAAAGCTTAGAAAATCTCAACAGCAAACAAAAGTCAACCAATGACAATGTGTGACAGCCACCTTTAATTCTGTAGTGATTCCTCTGTCATGCAACGACTCAAAGTATTGATTTCTCTCAGCATGAAAAAGCCTAAGCCAATGAAACAGACAGAGCAGCAACCCCCTCCTCCCTTCCCCCCATAACAGCATTCAAGGTTAAAACAGGCAGAACACTTATCAAAGTATCTCTTCCATTTCTTCTTGTTTTAATAGACTGGATACAACATGTTGGGTTCTTATCGTTACAAACTATAGTCCTCAGACAATATTTTTAAATAATTTGAAGATTAATATAGGTTATTCTATTTTTTTGCTTCACACTTTTGGTAATAAAAAACTTGTTTCAAATGCTTTTTTTTTCTGTGAACTCTTAACAGAAGTATATATAATATTTGTAAAAACAAGCCGACACTAATAAGAAGGCTATAGTTTCTACTTGTGTGCCAATTCCACACATAATATTTTGTTTTCATTATTTCTTTAGAGTACTTATTAACAATAAAACCCACAAATACCTAAGCATCTTCCAAAAAGACAAAGTGAATCCTTCAACAATGCAAACACACATCATACATCTGTTTGGAAAATAAAGTAAACTATGGCTGCTATCTGTGTTCAAGAAAATAGTAATAACATAAAATGTAAGCAAAGGATAGGGTTGAAACCACAGAATTATATTTTAAAACTATAGTATGAGACAAAAATAACAATCAGCTCTCTGTATCCCCAGGTTCTACATCTACAGATTCGACCAAATTTTTTGTTTTGTTTTGTTTTTGAGTCAGAATCTCACTCTGACACCTAGGCTGGAGTGCAGTGACATGATCACAACTCACTGCAGCCTCCATCTCCCAGGTTCACGCAACCCTCCCATTTCAGCCTCATGAGTAACTGGGACTACATGCACACATCACCATGCCCAGCTAATATTTTTCTGTAGAGACAGGGTCTCTCAGTGTTGGCCAGGCTGGTCTCAAACTCCTGGCCTCAAGTGATCCTCCTGCCTCAGCCTCCCAAAGTGCTTGGATTACAAGTGTGAGCCACTGCACCAGGCCTTGACCAATTTTTGATCTGCAGTTAGTCCTGGAACCAATTCCGCATGGATCCAGAGGGATGACTGTGTATCTTCACAAAATATGTATAAATGGTTACACACAGAGAGGTAAAATTAAGAAGCTTTAATTTCTTAAACTTTACTTTCTGCTAATCTGCAAAAGAGTTAGATGATCTTAAGCAAATCCTATCATCTTTTAACTCTACCTAACCAATGGATTTTTAAAAGCATAAAAAACTAGGGTCTTTTAGTTGTATTAGCAAGGTCTCCTACTTATGAATAAATATATTTGCTACTACAAATAGGTAAATCTTACACTTAAATATCAAGGCCAGACATGGTGGCTCACACCTCTAATTCCAGCACTTAGGGAGGTCGAGGCCAGCAAATCCCTTGAGGCCAGGAGAGTTCAAAGCCAGCCTGGGCAACATGGCAAAGTCCTATCTTTACAAAAAATAGAAAAATCAGCTGGGCATGGTGGCATGCACCTGTAGTCCTAGCTACTTGGGAGGATGAGGCGGGAGGATTGCTTGAGCCCAGGAGGTTATGCTGCAGTGAGCCATAATCAGGCCACTGCATTCCTGCCTGTGTGAGAGAGTGAGACCCTGTCTCAAAAACAAAAATAAATTTCAAATAAAAGCAGTTCAAGAACAAGCATGAAAACCAGAAAGAAAATAAGCAATTATGTATAAAAATCATAATTAACAATGTAGTTAAGAGCACCAACTCTAGAGCTAGATGACTTGAGTTTTAACTCTTGGTTTTGACACATTCATGCTTAAGCAAGTTATTTGAAACCCTGTGCCTCGGTTTCCTCATATAAAAGAGGAGATGATGTGGTATGCTTTTCAGGAGGATCAAGAATAGACATAAAATGATTAGAACATTGCCAGTCATATAAAGGTAACACCTAACATTTATTGTAGGCTTAATTGTGATGTTATCAAAATACGTAACAAATAGTCCCTGTCTTCCAGCATCTCACTGTAGTTTAGTAAAATAAATACAATATGAGAAAGAAATAAACTATGAGATAACTGCTCAAAGAGTTATAGACAGTATGTTTGGAAAGAGAGAAAAAGAAGGAACTATTAGGAATCAGGGAGAGGCTGGGCACAGTGGCTCATGTCTGTAATCCCAGCACTTTGGGAGGCGAGGCAGGCAAATGAATACCTTGCACTCAGGAGTTCCAGACCAGCCTGTAGAGATGGCAAAGTCCCATCTCCACAAAAAAAAAAAATACAAAAATTAGCCGGGCATGGTGGCACACATCTGTAGTCCCAGCTACTTGGGAAGCTGTGGTGGGAGGATTCCTTGAGCCCAGGAAGTTGAGGCTGTACTGAGCCGAGACTGCAGCACTCTACTCCAGCCTGGGTGACAGAAGAGACCCTGCCTCAAAAAAGTAAAAAGAAAAAAGAAAAAAAAAAAGGCCGGGCGCAGTGGCTCACACCTGTAATTCCAACACTTTGAGAGGCCAAGGCGGGTGGATCATGAGGTCAGGAGTTCAAGACCAGCCTGGTCAAGATGGTGAAACCCCATCTCTACTAAAAATACAAAAATTAGCCTGGCATGGTGGCAGGAGTCTGTAATCCCAGCTACTCAGAAGGCTGAGGCAGAGAAGTGCTTGAACCCAGCAGGTGGAGGTTGCAGTGAGCCAAGATCACACCACTGCACACCAGCCTGGGTGACAGAGTGAGACTTTGTCTCAGAAAAAAAAAAAAAAAAAAAAAAAAAACAGGGAGAGTTTCACAGAGGAATTAAAGGCTAAGTACCTGTTCACCAAGAAGAAAGGGATAGAAAAAATAAAATGTAGAAAATAAAAGAGGTCAAAAACTAAGAGAACAAGCTCAAATAAATGCATTTTTTTAAGCAAAGATAGGAATAACAGAATGAGACATGTAATAAAGAGCCTTCTCTTTTTAAATATCCTGATACATGTTTATATTTTTCTTGGGTAACTAATACATTTTTTTTACCAATTACCTTCATAAAGGAATTATTCCTCAAAGGTTTATATAAATCATTTAACATACAAAATATTAACTAGATTTGTATTTCTCAGCTGATGATTGTTATAATGTTATAATTTCTTTAATTCATATTCAAATGTATTGCCAACACAGACCATTTCAAAACAACACACCTGAATATTAACTGGGTTATAAATACTGTTTCTCAAACTACCTGTAGGGAAGGGCCAGTTTTGTTTTTTTTTTAACCTTTTTAAACACCTTTAGCACTGATGCCTTTGATGACATTGCCAGACATTCAAGCTATAAAACTTTTTAAATATTCAATTTCTGTACTCAGCTCTTTGTGGATTACTAAGAAGTAATTTAGTCAGCAGACCATACTTAAACAGCACTAATATAAAAAGGTAAGTAGAAGGAAACTATTTTTATCAACTCAAGTATTTCCATTTTGCTTTGTATGGTAAAATACTTGCTTTGCAAAATAAAATACTTTGTATTATAAAATGCTTGGTCTTATATTCAGTGCTTTAATTTTTATTAATAAACCAGAAACAACAATAGCCAATATTCTAAGTGCACATGAGAAAAGTCTAAATTATAAACAAATGTTGTATAAAATACACTGTAAAGATTTTTAATTAGCTTAGTTTCTTATTAATCTTTATTTTAAAATCCATTAAGAAAAGGAAGGCTTTACATTAGTACATAATTTGGTCTATGGTTAAGATAACCAGAAGATACCATAAACTGAAAGCTTAAGTAAAGGCTTGATATATCTATGAGGGATATATTCAGACATTTTCTTTGAAGAGATTTTCAATGCATTAAAAGGTCTGGTTTTCAAAATATATTTTACAAGAACATACTGAGAAGATAATGAAAAAACACTCTTCCAGTTTGGATTTAATTTGATCAACAATGCCTGCAACAGTTTTACCTACATATAAACCTTTTGCTTTTTCTAGCTTGCTAGCTTTAATAGAAATATAGTAATAGTAAGCATCCGAGTAAAATAGCTGTTTTTTTAACCTGGTGCAGCATCACTTAACAATTTGCAAACAAAATCTCATCGATTCACTTTTAAGTGGTCTTCCTTTATCCCACCAATGATAGTTCCTTTAGTTTCACAAACAGCTCAAAAATTATTATTTCTTGTTATATGTATGTATATACCTGTCCTTTATACAGGTAAGAATATGATGTTCAAAAGATACCTACAGAAGAGTAACAGCAGAAAATATTGAGGCCTTTCTTTTAACCTGGTCATTTTCAAAAAGCTAAAGTTGAGAGTATGACAAGTAAAACACATCATGGAAGAACCTCTAAAAATAGTGTGTTCCAGACTAAATACACAAGACTTTGGATATGAAAACTGAAAAATATTATTACTGCATAGTCCAGGTCTATAGACGCTACAACATATATGATAAATTGGGGTAAGAGTTTCCTTAAAAAAATTTGATGGTGCCGTTGTCACTCAACCTGAGGCAGGAAAAAAGGGTAACACTGGACTGAGGAAAAAGCAAGATTCTTCTCTAAGAGAGGAAGCAGGTGATCCTGAACTCGAGAAAGAATCTGGTCAAAAGAGCTCTCACTGTTGGAGAGCTAAACTGGCTTCTGCAGCATGGCAAAGGGAGACGACCTGGGGAAAGAGGGAGACAGAGTCAAGAAAAACTGCCTGTTCAAGAGTGTGGCCTATGAATCCTAGGAGATGCAATATCTAGTATTGTTTTGTTTTCCTCTTCTGCACTGTGATGCCCTTCTATCATTGCAAGGCCCACAAAAGAGAAAAGGAGAGGTCTATGTCCACGCTTTGGGCAACAGGATAAAGAAAAACAGCTACTGCCTGGAAAAGTTGTTTGTAAGATGGGAAGAGGTATTCTCCAGAGCTCTGATACAACTCTATCCAGCAATAGTGTAGATAGGAACCTGATGGCAGAGATAAGAGTCCTAGATTCACTGTGGCACATATAAGCATTCAATTTCCAGAGATTACTTGAAGAAAAAAATAGCTGTTATTAAACACTTAATATGGATTCAGAGTAATGGGTACATTAGGTTTATCAAATCCCATTTATTCCTGACAACATAGCTACAGGTAAACATCATTATTATCCTGATGTAAAGGTGCAGCAGTGGTGTCTTACTTCACATGGTTTAGTGAATGACAATGCCAAGACTAGTCAACAATTTTATCTGATGAGGTAGTCAGAGCTAAGGTCAACTGCTGCAGAGTAATCATGTCTCACTGGTTGGGTATTCAAACCCTAGCAATTTGGACATTAAAAAGAACTTGAATACTTGTCAGTTGGTTATACTGGTAGAGGTTGAGTATCCCTTATCCAAAAATTCAAAATTCAAAATGCTCCAAAATCTGAAGCTTTTTGAGCACCAACATGACCCTCAAAGAAAATGCTCATTGGAGCATTCTGATTTCCAGGTTTTCAGATTAGAGATATTCAACCAGTAATATAATACAAATATTCCAAAATCTTTAAAAACCTGAAATTTGAAACACTTCTGGTCCCAAGCATTCTGGATACGGGATACTCAACCGGCATTTTATCTTTCATATTTATTGATATTATTTTTATCAAAGGTGAAGAAAATAACAATGATAGAAAACAGAAAAGCCACAATTTATATTTGTATATATAGTCATGCATGGCTTAATGACGAGGGCATACATCATACTGTTTATAGCCTAGGAGCCATACAAATATGTACAGTATGTTACTGTATTAAATGTTGTAGGCAACTATACCACAATGGTAAGTATTTGTATACCTAAACACAGAAAAGGTATGGTAAAAATGGGTATAAAACAAACAAAAAAAATGGTACAGGGCACATACCATGAATGGAGTTTGCAGCACTTGAAGTTGCGTTGGGTCAGTCAGTGTACAAGTAGTGGGTGAATGTGAAGGTCTAGGATATTACTGTATACTACTGTAGACTTTATAAACCCTGCACAGTTAGGCTATGCTAAGTTAATTAGAAATTATTTTCTTCAATAATAAATTATCCTTGCTCACTGTAACATTTTTACTTCATAAACTTAAAATTTTTTAAAATTGTTTAACTCTTTTTTAATAACACAGTTTAAAATGCACATTGTACAGCTGTGCCAAAATGTTTTCTTTCTTTATATCCTTATTCTATAATTTCCTTTTTTTTTTTTTTGAGACAGAGTCTTGCTCTGGTGAGACAGAGGCTAGAGTGCAGTGGCACGATCACAGCTAACTACAGCCTCAACTCACTGGGCTCGAGTGATTCTCCCACTTCAGCTTTCTGAGTAGCTAGGACTACAGGGGTGTACCACCACACCCCTGGCTAACTTTTTTATTTTTTGTAGAGACAAGGTCTCCCTATGTTGCCCAAGCTGGTCTCAAACTCCTGGACTCAAGCAATCCTCCCACCTTGACCAAAGTGCTGGGATTACACTGTGCCTGATCTATAAACCTTATTCTAGTTTCAAATTTCATTTTTTCAATTTTTAAATTTTGTTAAAAAGTGAGACACAAACACACACATTAGGCTAGGCCTATCCAGGGTCAAGATAATGAATATCACTGCCTTCCACCTCTACATCTTGTCTCACTGGAGGGTCTTTGGGGCAGTAACATGCATGGAGCTCTCATCTCCTATGATGACAATGCCTTCTTCTGGAATACCTCTTGAAAGACCTGACTGAGGCTGTTCTACAGTTAACATTTTTTTTTAATAAGTAAAAGGAATACACTCTAAAATAACAAGCATAGTATAGTAAATACATAAACCAGTTACACAGTCGTTTAATATCATTACCAAGTATTATATAATTGTGCTGCACTTTCATACGAATGGAAACACAAGTTTGCTTCTGCCAGCCTTACCACAAACACGTGAGTAATGAGTTACACTATGACATTACAATGGCTACAATGTCAGTAGGCAACAGGAGTTTTTCAGCTCCATTAAAATCTCATAGGACCACCACTGTACATGTGGTGCGTCATTTACCAAAACATCATTATGTGGTGCATGACTGTGTATATATAAAGCAAATATTGTCAAGCTTAGCATTTCGTGGTTCCTATGCTAGAGATGCAGAAATATAAATAAAGACATTAACTAAAATGTCCAAAACCGCCATGGTAGTAGATATCAAAACTGGAATGAGAATTGACATTCTAATACTTTGCTATCAAGCTATGATGACACAAAATCTATCAATCCATCATCTCTTCACTAAATGACAAAAGTGATCAACACAAAGTGTATATCAAGGGAGGAATGTGGGAAGAGAAAGGGGTACATTAATCACTGAGGCAGAACCATCCTGGGCCAAAGAATGGTATTCTTAGTTTTAAAAAAGTTGTCCTTGACTTTGACCATCCTTCTTCTCACTAAGGGTTTTTAAGATAAGGTGGCCAACTAGAAACAGAAAACTATAGGGGAAAAAGTTAGGAGAAAATCAAGCGGGAGAATAAAGAAGAAAAGACAAACAGGAAAGCATAAATAGCAGGTTCACATAAAATTACTTTTGCACTATTTCCTAATTATGAGTTTACTTTAAAAGCTAGTAAGAAAAAATAGTATTATAAGATTTCGTTTGCACTGTATTTTAACCACTAAATGAGAAACAAAATGGGGAGTTCAATTCAGTAATGGTAAAAATGAGATAATGGACAAAGGTGGGAAAAAAGTTTGTCATTTAACTAATCTTTACACAGCTCAAGACATTTTGCACTCTACCAATTTCACATGCACATAGGAAAAAACATATAAAGTCATTAGAAAAGAGCAAGGTAAACAGAAATAACAAATATTCAAGGTGTAGTTTCAATCATCGACAAAAGTGAATGAAAAGGAAATACCAAGATAATTACATAGGTGAGACTCCAAATAACTAATACTGCCATTTTACAACCTATGTTTTAGAATAAAAATATTACAAGCTACAGATTTGAGACTACACTAATGAGCTTTAAGGAACCTCATATTATTACAAAGAAATTAAGTATCCTATCCAACACTACATAGTTAATTAGTGGCAGAACAATGCCTAAATCCTAGTTCTTACAAATCCCAAATCTGTGCTTTCTATCATACACTACAGACTGCAAAAACGATTTTACAACTTACGTGTAATTAAATATTTTAAATTCATGCTCTTAAGCATGAATTTAAACATGCTTTAACAAACCAACTCAACCCTTAAAAAAAATCCAAGTATTATACAAAGTCCATATTTCAACCATCAAATTGTTAAGTTCAGAAATAATTTTCATAGAGATTTAAATTCCGGCCGGGCATGGTGGCTCACACCTGTAATCCCAACACTTTGGGAGGCCAAGGCAGGGGGATCACCTGAGATCACAAGTTCGAGACCAGGCTGGCCAACATAGTGAAGCCCCCATCTCTACTAAAAATACAAAAATTAGCCAGGCGTCATAGTGGACGCCTGTGATCCCAGCTACTCGGGAGGCTGAGGCGTAAGAATCGCTTGAACCCTGGAGACAGAGATTGCAGTGAGCCAAGATCGCACCACTACACTCCAACCTAGGCGACAGTGCGAGACTTCGTCTCCAAAAGAAAAAAAAAGTATTTGCCTTTATACATCATTAAATGCTCATTAAGAAAAACAGCGACAATCCAGTAAGCAATGCTAGGGAACAAAGTGATTACTTTCTTACTTGCTGTATCTACTAGGATACAAACAGAAGGTAATTTTTAATGAAACATTATCTTAATATTAAAGAATCTAGGATCTCAAATGAAAAAACTGATTCCTCAAATTTATGTTAGCTGGATATGGAAATCTTCTTTAATCCTAACATATGTCTTCTATTACTGACAATTTCATTCATTCAGCAATTCTTTGGGAGCTTCCTATGTTCCAAGCCTATACCAGATGTTGAAATTAAAATAAAACAGAACCTTTTATAAAGAAGTCAATATGTAATATTTGTTTCCCTCAGTAGTCACCAATAATTTCAAAACATTTTTAATGGTTAAAAGTAATTCTCACAAGTTGTCCAAGAAGAATATAATCCAGAAATTGCTAATGTAACGTCCATAACAAAACAAAAGGTAGTAAAGGTCAGCCTTTAACGATTTCTCCTACATGATTGTAATAAGAGAAGTGATACATACAAACCATACAGACCCTTACATAAGAAAATCTCAAGACAGAATCCATAAACATGTAAAAATTACATGTAAAATGTGTTATATTTGTATGAATTTATCAAGGTTAGATTCTCAAAGAGTCCATTAGCCCAAAAAAAAAAAAGAACTATTAACTCAAAATATAAAGAACAGAACATTTCACCTAATATCCCATTTTTGAGCCAGACTAAGTGGCTCATGCCTGTAATCCCAGCAATTGGAGAGGCCAAGGTGGGAAGATCACTTGAGTCCAGGAGTTTGGAACTCTCCTGCACAATATATAGCAAGACCCCATCTCTACAAAAAAAAATTTTTTTAATGTTAGCCAGGAATGGTGAGGCACACCTGTAGTCCCAGCTAACCTTGGAGGCTGAGGTGAGAGGGTCACTTGGGCCCAGGGGTTTGAGGCTGCAATGCACCATGATCCCACCACTGGACTTCAGCCTAAACCACAGAGCCAGACGCCGACTCAAAACAATTATGTGTGTATTTTATATTTGTTTTATATTATGAAATAGATACACAAATAAACACTCATAATAAAAAGCCTAAAATGCTATGTGCCAAAACATTGTCTTGCCTCTTGGTGGGGCAAAGATACTGGAGAAGGTTCTCTTTTTATTATTATCATTATTATTATTATTATTTACTGTTATATTTTTCTTCTTTTCTTTGCTACAGTATTCTCCAGCTCAAAAATTAATGAATTAAAACACAAAAAGAGCCACTGATCTAAATCAAATTTTTCTTAGGTCAGGGTATTTCAGGTTAACCTTCTGGGAAGTACCTGAATTCTATTTTTAAAAGAATTTTTGATTTCATTTATATAATAGTGCCAATAACAATAGATTTGGGCATATCTACATTATACATATATAGAAGCATTTCATATGCTTATAGTTCTTATACAAACACAATGAAATAAATTACAAAATAAGTTGAAGCAGCAGCACAGAATTTATATTTTTTGTGATTGTGTAAAATGAAATATAATTTGTAATAAATTGATAATCACTAGATTGGACTATCATGTAAAAATAGCATCAACCAAGCCATGAAAATTGTTAAATTCAGTCTATTTAACAATGATAATTGATAATGACAATTAATGACAAAATTTCTTTTGCATAATAAGAATATGTGACTCAAAGTCATTTTTATAGACTAAGATTTCAGTATTTACTTAACACATACAGCAGATTCTATACTACGGAAATGGCTTGTTGTACCGAGTAATGTAATAATTGTAATATTGCTGGTTACATAAAAAAATGAATTCACATGAAGTGATGTATCATGTACTACATGAATAAAAATTTGACAGAAGTTTAAAAATAGAAAAGTAAAGGCAGATTATGGCACAGACTTCAAGTTATTTGCCCAAATCCTCTTCCCCCTTCAATAGTACCAGGGGCTCCTGATTCTTAAGAGCCGGTAACCGTCTAGAATGAAGTGTATATTTCCCAATTTCATACCATTTTGCTTTTATTAATAAAGCTAATGAAAATCTGGGAAGGAAAAACAATGAATTTAAGTTTTAGACAAAGTGAATATAAACGGGTAAGAAGACACCTAGGTAAAGAAATATGGCAGATTTTTGAAAATGTGAAACTGGAAATGAGGTCTGCATTATAGTCAGTAACATTAAAGGTGAATCCCACCAAACCTTTAAAAGAGGGTAATTCCAATGCTACCCACCCTGTCTCTGGGCATGAAAAAAGAATGGAAATTGTAAAGTTATTCACAAGAGGCAAGTATAACACTGAAGCTAAAACCTCACAAATGACTAAGATTGCATAGAAAGTTAAAACAACCACAACCCAATTTAAGAATAGAACATGACAATTACAAACAAAACATTAGCAGATACAATCTGGCAAGATTAAAGAAAAAACTAAGACCAAAATATATTGGCATAATATTGACATATGTAACATCAAAAAAAGTATACTATGAATATCAACTCCACTGCTCCACTTAAGGATGACAAAATTGAACATTCTTCATTTACAGAAAAACTCCATAAAAAGTACTAAATAAATATTTCATTAAAATGATAAAGCATATATATATACTTCAGATCAAAGGCTATGTCATACTTAGTAGGGAAACACTGAAACACCTCTGCTAAAGTCAGGAACAAGAAAAAGATGCTATTATTTTTTAACATCACACTGGTGATAGAAGTCAATTCAATTAGACAAGGAAACGTAATTACAAGAATTAAAGTTGGTAAGTTGATACCAATAAAAGTTGGTAAAACTATCAATATCTGCAGAAGATGTGAGTGCATGCCTGAAAAGCCCAAGAGCATCAAATGAAAACACTCTTTTGAATCAGACGAGCTGAATCTAATGTTAGATTAACAAGCCAAAGAATTTTGAAAAAAGAAATTCAAAAGGGCAATAAGAAGGAGGAAGAGGAGGAGAAGCAAGAGGAACATAGACCTATTAGTATCAAAACACATTGTAAAGACTCAATAATTAAATTGATTAATATGCTAGCTTGACACTAGTATATGAAATCACACACAGACTAATGGGAAAAAAATCAAACTCGAAATTGACCCCAAACATACAGGCATTTAGTATATAACAGTAGCATCTTAAATGAAAACTTAGACTACCGGGTAGGTGGCATAGGGAAAACTAGGTAGGCATATAAAATAAATTGAATTAATAACACAATCTGTACTAAGATAAATTCCAAATAAATTAAATATTTAAATTTAAAGCAATAAAACTATAGAAATATTAGAAGAAACATATGGGAATTCCTTTATAATCTATGTGTTTCTACCCTTCCAACTACCAAACAGAAATTGAGATCCATGAGAGAAAATATCCACACATTTAACAAAAAAAAAAAATTTAACTTCTGTAAGGCAACAAAAAATACCATCATAACTAAACAAACAAACAAATTGGTAAAAAGAAAGAAAAAATTCTAACATATATCACAGAGTTGATTCCTTAATACATGCAGAGCTTCTAAAACAAAATCAATAAGAAAAGAGACACAATCAATGGAACAGCTGCAAAGGACATGCTCACAGAAAGGGAAATACTAAGGTTCAGAGATCATCAAACTCACTCATAAAAAACCAAAAATGTAGTTTAAAACAACACTGAGAAATACAAATTAAAACTCTACACTACCATATATAACCTATGCAAGTGACAAAAGTCCAAATATGCTTCATAACACATTCTATAAGGAAACATTCACACTTTGTTGATCAAAGTATAAAAATTCTTCAGAAAATAATATTAAGTTTAAAAAGCAAAATACAGAACATTATTTATAATATGCTAGCATTCATACAAAGAAAGATAGGAATATGTATCTCTATTTGAGTGCATATGCATAAAGAAACCCTGAAAAATTCATCTAACAGTGGTTTTCTGTAAGGATAAGGGGTGGAAGGCATCCTGGAAGAGATTAGAAGGAGATTTTTCACTGTGTGCTTTCTTATAATTTTTTATTTTAAATTACCTATAGAAAAAACTAAATGAATAGATTGAAAAATTTTAAATACTTAATATCTTCTATATAAAAGTTTCAGATAAGGTAGACATGAGATTGTTAAAACAGCACAGAAAAGTTAAAACTACAAAGAAAGTATTCCTGTGAAAGACCTATACTTTTAAAAAAGCAAAAGAAATTGGATGAAACTAATAAAAGATTCATGAGAAATAAAAAACCAATCAGAAAAACATCAAGAAAGTCAAGCAAAAAAGGAGTTTAAAAATGGAAGGGTCTGTCATCAGTGTCAAAAACTGCAGAGACCAAGGAAGATAAGAAATAAAAAAGGACCACTGTATATATAATTAGTAGATCAGTAATGATATTGAAAACAACAAGTTTAATCCATTTGTCCTAGAATTGGGGATGAAAAGGAGAGGAGAGAAGCCAAACTATGACACTGAACAGTGGAAGGGGGTGAGACAATAAAGACCATTCTAGCAAAAAAGTCTGGTAGAATCAAAAAGCAAGAGAGAAAATGGAAGCTTGAGAATTCCAGCAGCATTTAAACAAGGTTATCAAGCTCTAGCATATGATAATTAGACAGAGGCATGAATATATAAATAGTGAGAAGCTGCAACATACTTCCAGAAAGGTCATTTAAAATAAAAAAATTTTCAGTGTATTAAATAATAACTTCATTCAAAATAATACACAATTTGCTAAAGAAAACCAGACATTAGTCAATAAATACAAAAATTACCTATGACATCAAGTAAAAGAAAATAAGTCCTTTCAATCAAAACTACTCTTAACAATAAGCAGCCTATTTCATACTTAATGAGGGCCTGCAACTGATAGTTCATAATATTCTGGAAACAGGTATCAAGGCAAATCTCACAAGTAACAGGCGCATCATCTAAGGATCTTTTTCACATTAAGAATCCTATTAGAAAGAAAACACTAAAAGGTAATTGAATTTCCCTCAGTTATCTTCATCTCTGTCAGCTCCTGCTACAATAACTTACTCTCCAGAGCAGAGATAACTCAATTCTGTTCAGCAAGCATATGTTATGAATCTCCAAAGCAAACTTGTCTAAATCATTCTGGTCTTCTATCAAGGTTGCCTGTGGATATGAACTCTGACAGAAAGCAAACAAATTTATTTTTATCTTTTCAATAATTCACTTCTTTATGCCTTGATAGAAGAAATCATGAGATAAATATATGGTCTACAGTTATGTTATAAAGTCGGGCTGAAATGGTTTCCATGACTTAAATAAAAGACTTAATGAATAATCCTTCTTAAACACAAAGAAAATGGTATCAAAAAATAGAATTGGTAAATTACCTGAAGTTTCAATTTGTTTATACTGTTGCCAGATCCTTATTATGATCTCACAAATGCTAGTTTGACTATTTCATTTTTGAAGCTTTATAGTAAAACATGTTTTATAAAATGCTAGAAAATTGAATTTTTAAAAAAGATACCAACAAAATAAATAATAGTTCATATGAGAAAATGCATTTCTTATCGGTATTTTAAGCCAGCTGGCATTTTATAACAGAAAAGAATTAAAAAGGCTATATAATAGAGACAAAAATTCTATGAGTGTGAGTTTCTTAAGTTGGGGTATACATAGATCATTGCTATTCAGAACAAAAAACAATCCAAATTCAAATTGTTAATGAATACAACCCTTTCAGTCATAATCCCTTTCCTTTAACACAGGTTAAATTTCTCAAAGATTCTGGCTTGGCTATTCATGACCTTTAAATTCTACACTAGTGGTCACAATAATAGCAACAATGATAATCACTAACACACTTCATAATGTGTTTTAACCTACATTATATAATTTTACTCTCCACAATAAACCTTTTATTAACGTTTCATTATATCCATTTCATAGAAGGGAAATTAAGACTCAGAGAGGTTCAATGAATTTTATCCAATATTCTCCAGCTAATAAATTGTGAAGCCTAGAACCCGAACATGTTTTTGGAAACCATGTTCCTTCTATCACATTGTAACACACTGTTTCAAAATTAAGTTACCCTTAAACAGCAGAGAAAATGTCAAAAAATGTAGCCAACAATGCGCCTTGAAATTTTGATGTAAAGTGTGCTAACTTGTATTTCATAAATCAAATGGCTTATTTCTTCATTTCAAGCACAATCAGTATGTTTTTGGATTGAAGACCTAAAGCAACCCATTGCAGTAATTTGAGACGCTATTATTAACCTATAACTCCTGCTAATAATAGGCTGAAAATAATTCTACCTTGGCCTTTCTCATGCATAATCCATTTGTTTCCATAGAGAACCATCCTTACTACTTTTAATCAGGTAAAAAAGAAATCAAATGTGTGGACTGTAATTAGTACTCATTTATTGAATAATTATTTACTGAGCACCTACTATGTATAGGCAATGTACAAGTCTCTATGGATATGTTATGAATAGACATAGAGTTCTTACCTTCATGAAGCACACAAAAGAACGAGGCAGGAAATAATCAGGGAATAAAATATATAATTACAAACAATTATTAAGTGCTATGAGATATTATAACAGAAAGATCTTAGTTAGATTTACATTGGGTGATTGGTGGGGGTAAAGGATGAGAGGCAGAGAAGGCTTCTGTGTAAAAGTGACACTTGAAGGAAAATCTAAAAGATGAGTAGAAGATGAATAAAAGGGTATTGTGACTAGGAGCAAAGGTAAATGGAGAATGAGGTTTTGTGGTTGATATTAAGGATTGTAGGTTTAACCTAAGAGCAATGGGAAGGAACTGGATGTTTCTATGCATGAACAACATATACTAAATTTCAGAATGACTACACTGGCTATTCTGCGTAAAAGAAAGAAAATATAGGTGGGGAAGAAAAATAAGACAAGAGATTACTCCAAATGTTTTGAACTATAGATGTGATGGTTAAGATAACAAAACACAGTATTGATAACAAATGTTTTTGGAGGCAAAATAAACAGAACTTGATGGTGGACAGACATTAAGTGTGTAGTAAGGGAAAAAATGGGTAATGGGTGATTTATGTAAGCAAGTAAGTAAATGGAAGTGATATTTCTCAGATGGGAAAAAATGGAGGAGTAGTTAACAGGGGAATATACAGTTTTAGAAAGTCTCTCCCCAAAAGTGGGGCTTCTTATAAGAAATTTCAAGTGGCAATTACAAGTATACAGTGGTATCACACAGGTTTGAAGCTCGGAAAAGAAGTCACAAAGACAAAAATCAGAAAGTTTTAGATAATAAACAAATGCTAACAAAAATAGGGGGAAGAGGTCCTCAGAAATATTGGGTCAAAGTGAAAAAAAAATACTATATTTAATTACCTTAAGATAATTTTCCATTCACAGAAAAAGGATATATTCTGGCCCAGCTCTTGATTACAGGTAGTAAACATGAGCCAAAGAGACGTACCAAATTCCCTATTTTTCTTCTTTTTCAGATAATTAGCTAATCTTTATATATTACTTACATGTGAATTACTTTGACCCTAAACAAGGCAGTGAAGAATGAGTGCTTTACCTCCTACAGCTATCTATCTTCATGTACCAATAACGTGAGGAAAGATGTAGACTCATTAATTAGAAGAAAAAGAGGCCCTTGTTTATTAGAACTACACTTTACGTCTCTGCTTGCAAACTCAACATATCAGTTCGGTTGGCTAAAGGATACTATTATTCAGGCTAAGTTTACAGTTCTATCTCTGACTGAGAGCTAAATGTCCCCCAAAAAGCAAGTTCATGACCACAGATTGCACCACTAATTCCCAGGAGCTATCTCATAAATAAGTAACAGACGTATAAAAGAAAGCTACATCAAAAAAAATTTGAAAGTTTCAGTATGAACCCCAATGAAAAAAAATTGCCTTACCTGAATATCTTATTAACTAGAGGGCAGTGATATTTGTATGCACAGAGAGACCCTTTTGTGGTTAAAAATCACAGGTTTCAGGTATAACATAGGAAACATAGTGACACAAAGAAGTCAAATCTAAGAAGTTAATTTTTTTTTTTTTTTTGAGAAAGAGTCTCACTGTGTCACCCAGGATGGAGTACAGTGGCAAAATCTCAGCTCACTACAACTTCCACCTCCCAGGTTCAAACAATTCTCCTGCCCCAGCATCTTGAGTAGCTGGAACTACAGGTGTGCACCACCACACCCAGCTAATTTTTTTGTATTTTTAGTAGAGAAGGGGTTTCACCATGTTGGCCAGGCTGGTCTCGAACTCCTGATCTCAAGTGATCCACCCACCTCAGCCTCCCAAAATGCTGGGATTACAGGTGTGAGCCACCACACCCAGCTGGAAGTTAAATTTGCAACCACAATATAATTTCAAGAGTTGTATTTTTAAAATAGCATTGTCAGGTATGTCAAAGCAAAGTGCCAAGTTTATTTAGTAAGATTCACTACCTTCTAGAGAATATGTAAGAAACCATCAATAACTATAAATAACTATTAAAAAACCCATCAATAACTATAAAGGTACTTATGTCCAGCAGTTGTAAAAATTACTTTTAAACACATTTCTGTGTAACTTCTCCTACCAGAGTAATGATAATTGGGACACAAAGTGCCAAAGTAAAAATTATTTGTGCAATGTAAAAAATACAGGAACAGAGGCAATAATATCAATAAAAGACCTTTTAAAATGCTCAGTATCATCAATGGGTCTCTTCTGAATTCAAAAGTTTACTCACTGATGTTTCCAAGGTTTATGAAGGTACTCATTTAGAAGAGCTCATCATTATATAATGACACCCTATCTAGTCCATTTCTTATCATTAAGGAAGAGAAATCATTTTTTACTCAATTCTTCTGGTGCAACTCAAGGACAGGCAGTATACTGTAGCGATTAAAAGAGCAGAACATAAAGTTTTGAGTTGAAATCACTGAGCAATTTATTAATCAGTCTTTGTCTTTTCTTCATCTGTAAAACAGAGATAATAAATAATGCCCACCTGGCTCATGGGTTATTTATTGTAAGGATTAAATGAATCAATGTATACCTGACCCATAAAATGTATGCAATAAATCATAGCTACTATTAATGTTATTAGTATCCCCATCCTCAACGTTTGAGTATCCAGTTAGGGCCAGGCCTTGTAAGTAATCCTTAAAGATTTAATGACTACAAATTCCCTAAGTTCTAAGATAGTCCAGATACATTAACATGTTGATGACTATATTATAGGAATAAAAAAATAATGTGCTCACAATTGTTTGAACTAATAAAAAACCCTTTAGCTGTCTAAAGGAATGCCAATGTCCTAATCAAAACATAAAGTGAGGTAAAAGTTTACAATTTTTTCTCCAGAAGTAATATTTTCATGTCATGTTCTCTCCTCAGAAAATTCCTTAACTTGTCACCTGACAACCAAATTTCACATTTACTGGCAAGAACGAAGCACCAAAAAAGTTCCTGAATATAGCAAAATATTTACTGCCAAAAAATTACGCTACGATTACAATTCTACTGGACAAGACATGTAAAGGAGAGAAAACAGCAACATCCCTAAAAAGCCTTTATCAAAGAATACTACCAAGCTACAAAACGGCAAAACCCAAAGAGATTCCTACTTAATAAGCAAAATAAGGAGTGGTTCTTTTCCAATATATCACACACACATTTAGGAGGAAACACAAAAACACACAGAAACATTATGTTTCGAAAAGCCACAAAGAAAACCAGTTTTTTGGTTTTTTGGATTTTGTGTGTTTTGAGATAGGGCTTTGCTCTGTCACCTGGGCCATGGTACAGTGGCCCGATTACAGTGCACTGCAGCCTCAACCACCTGGACTCAAGCAATCTGCCCACCTCAGCCTCCCAAGCAGCCAAGACTACAGGCATGTGCCACCAAGCCCAGCTAATTTTTAAATTTTTGAAGAGATGGGGTCTTGCTATATTACTCATGCTGGTCTCAAACTGCTGGGGTCATGCAATCCTCCTGCTTTGACCTCCTAAAAGGCTAGGATTATAGGCATGAGCCACTGCATCCAGCCACAGTTCTTTATAATTCAATCACAAAATGTTGTTGGTATGATCATCTGTACCATAAAGAAATATAATCAATGACATCTCAGTTCATCAGCCATTGTCATACAAGGCACTGTTTGCTACACATAGGTAGAGAAGGAAAGTTGGCATATTACATTATTCTGTCCTATGTTCAGGAGGCAACATTCCTTACAATTTTTCCTGTGAAGAGGATTTCAGGAACTCGGAAAAATCACTCAACAAAAGGAAATGACAAGCAAAAAGTCCAGGAGATTGATTTTCAAACTTTTGGTTTTGGCAGTACTCTTTTTGCCTATGTAACTGTAACGTGGCAAAGTATAATGAAACCTATTCTTTTAAATTTGTGTTTTAACAATATTTGTCTAATAAGTGAAGTAAATTTTTATGCAAGCCCAAGAATGTAATACAGATAAAATCATGTGGCCTATCCCTGTTCACAGTATTGCCTGAGATACCGTAAGTGATGATCTAAAGCAATGAGTTTTGAACATATCACTTCTAGTTTGATGAAATTAGGGAGGAGTTAAAGGGATTTACAATGCTAACAGTGAAATAGAGACACTTTTATTAAATCGACAAATACAATTATCACATTTTCCCCATATAAAACCAAAGACATGAGGAACAGAAGGATCTCTGGGTAAATATGAAATAAACTTTGACCATTTGTGGCTGCTGATGGAGATCAGATGAGTGTGCTCCTAACAAAAATATTCAATTAGTTTGTGAGCCAGTCTGATAGTTTAGAGGTGTGCTATTCAAGAATGGTCGATCAACGTTTCTGATGCAAGTCTAAGTACCACTTCTTTACACTCCACAATGAGATAAGTATAGAAATTGAGGGAATTTAGAAAGGTTTATAGCAAGTAGACATGGCCACAGCATCCAACCACATAATCAGTGGACTCATCTCAATAAAGTTTATGTCTTACTGAATTCCCTTTATGTGGATACTAGTTATGTACAGTACAAATACATTATGTCTAATATTTCAAGAACAGTTTATAATTTGTAACTCAAATGTACTTGTTTATATAACATTTTTACAATTATTTTAATGAAAGCTATTATTTTAAATTTATGTTTTAACAGTATTTGATTAATATGGGAAGTAAATTTTTTATTATCTAGTTTTAACGATGTTTACAATTAGCAAAACAAACTTCACTAGACTTATTTGACAAAAAAGACATGCCTTTTCATAATGTATCAATAGTAGCAAACAAATCATAACTGAAGTAATTACAAGAAAAGATTCCAATCTAACTAAAATTTTATATCCTAAATTTCAACTAATAGGAGGAATGAGTTCAAGAAATCTATTGTACAACATGGTGACTCTAGTTAATACCAATGTATTGTATTCTTAAAAATTGCTGAGAGTAGATTTCAGTGTTCTCAACACAGAAAAATGATATGTGAGGTAATGCATATGTTAATTAGCTATGTTTAGCCATAATGTATACACACTTCAGAACATGTTGGTATAATATTTAATTTTTGCTCATTAAAATATATTTTTTTCCAATAGAATTTATACCAGTTTTAGTCTAAATTAAGATTGCTAATATAGTGAGTTCAGTTTTGAGAAACAAGGCCATCCACATTCACCTAACAAGCAGGGTTAAAAACTGAGACACCAGAGTCAATATTATTTCACCATTTGTTTCAGGAAATCCTACCCCAGGAAGATAAGATTGCAAAGAACAAATAACTTCACTGTTTGCTTCAGGAACACCAATGTATTTGAATAATAAACTGCTTATTTAGACAAACAGTCTCATTTTCAGAACAATAAGTTACTCAGGAAAAAATTTCACTTACCAACTGTTTACTAATCAACACCTACATCAGAACCGTTGCCTCACTTTCTCCCAATCCTAAAATCTTCTATGATAAATTTATACCCAACCACAATCAGACCTCGTATTGAAAGACCTAAGATGTAAACCATTTGAGTTCATACCTAGAAACTCTATAAATACCCACCCCAACCTCTCACCCTGAGATCCTTCTAAGATACTGTCAAGGTTGCATTCTCATTTAGTGCAGTATATAATCAACTTAGCTTTGCCAGGCTATTCTGGTGGTGGTCCTGAACAGTTGAGAGATGGCAGTAGTTTTGTAGCCATAAATAATTAAGAATTAAAAAGAAAGTGTGGCTATGTGCAAAGATGTAATAAATAAAATAATAAAAACAAACAGTTTAAATAAAAACTGCAAAGAAAAATGTTCAAAGTCAAATGAAATATTGAAAAGAATACTGAATAAGCCAACAAAAGCAGACATTTAATATTTCACATAAAAACTACATTGTTTGGTGTACTTATAAAATACCACATCAGGTTGCCAAAATTTAAATATGTATATTTTATTTGTATGTTTTGTGTGTGCACAATTGCCAAGTGTTAGTGAAAGACTACATCATAAGCATTTTCTTCAAAATGTTGGTGAGTTACAGACACTTGCCAATGAGACCAGAACTGAATGTATTCAGGAACTGATTAATGAACAATTACTAATAGAACCCAAAAACTAGCTAAGTACTTTTCATTACAACTTAAAGACTGCATTGATATTGCTAAGAGAACATTTTGTTTTTAAGAATAAGTGATATTTGAACATGATAATATGAAGGAAAAATCCTTATGTTTTTTAGATGCACTAGTGACAAACACAACTACATTGCTCTGAAGACCATCCATACACCCAAGAAGAATTATACTGTGAGCAAATATGATTTGGAGTCTGACTTTCGTTTAGGAAATGTTCTGATGATATAGCTCGAAACAAACATCGTGTGGTGGTTAAGATTTAAGAAGTGGAACCAGTTTCCTTCATCAACAAAGCCTTGATAACAACAAAAAAAAAAATCACTTACAGTGTATTAGTGACAACATAAAAATTGCTAATTGGGCTGGGCGCAGTGGCTCATGCCTGTAATCCCAGCACTTTGGGAGGCCAAGGCAGATGGATCACGAGCTCAGGAGTTCAAGACCAACCTGGCCAAGATGGTGAAACCCCGTCTCTACTAAAAATACAAAATCTAGCTGGGCGTGGTTGTGGGCACCTGTAATCCCAGCCACTAGTGAGGCTGAGGCAGAGAATTGCTTGAACCAGGCAGGCGGAGGTTTCAGTGCATAAAAAAAAGAAAATAGGGTAAAAAATAGGTATGACCTTTGCATTACCTTCGCAACTTGTTTTACATCTATAGTTATTTCAAATTAGTCAAAAACAAAAAGCAAAATCCAACGAAGATAAACAGATGTTCAAGCTAAACAATAAATGACTTTCACTCTTTACATTTTTTATTTTCTAAATTTTCTATATTAAAAAATACTTCATTTTTATAATTAGAAAAATAAACACGTTTAAATTTAAAAATCGATCAATGAGGAGAAAAGCAGCTACTTAAGAGGAAAATTGAATAATTTCTCATGATTAGCTCTAAAATTGGTATATACAGTACCCTAAAATACATAACACTAAAATATGTAATTGTTAAAATGTTTCACATTCCTTTAGAACTGTCAAGAATATGTTCAATAATAGAATATATTATTACAATAGCAAAACACTGCCATGAAGTCGACAGAGGCTATGGGGACAGACTGTACTGGGTTATTGTTATGAAACCTGGGTTCTAATTCAGAATCATGGATTTAATTGTTCTGTGATCAAAGCTAAATCACATTCTCTCAATCTACCTTGCATACATACATCAAAGATGTGTTGTGGTACTGAAATGAGACAATGTGTACTAAATCACTTAATAGATGACGTTAGGCCACATAGCAAAGAGATCACCAGTTTATACTGGGTATCAGACTACCCTGGTTCAAGTCCAAGCTTCATCATATACTAGCTATATGACCTAAAACAAACCACTGAGCCTCGCTGTAGTTTTCTTATCTGTAAAATTGGGCTGAAGATAATAACATTTACCTCAGAGGACTGTTATGATAATTTATTTTATATTTGTTAAGAATTCAGAAAAACAAGTGGTACTATAGAAGTGTTTATTTTTAAAAATTTATAAGTACTCACAAAAATGTTCACTATTTTAATAAAAATATTTTGCTTGCTAATTGGAAAAAAATCTTTGAATTCTTCACCTAAAAAATATATAGATTGCTATATTTGCCAGACATAGTGGCTCATATATGTAATCCCACCACTTTGGGAGGCTTGAGCTCAGGAGCTTGAGACCAGCCTGGGCAATATGACAAAACCGATCTCTACAAAAAACAAAACAAAAATTAGCCAGGTGTGGTGGTGTGCACATGTAGTGCCAGCTACTCGGGAGGCTGAGGTGGGAAGATCACTTGAATCCAGGAAGCTCAGTTTGCAGTGAGCCAAAATCGCACCACTACATTCCAGCCTGGGTGACATAGTGAGACTCTGTCTCAAAATAACAATAATAGTAATAATAATAATAATAATAATAATAATCAGTGCTTTCATGGTCTTTATTTAATAAAAAAAAATACTCCATTTTTATTACTTCAAAAAAACCGAGAGACCACCTGGTTTGCAGTTCCACTGAAGCTAGCAACAAGTGAGTTCTACAGTATGTTAGATAAAATTCAAAGCAACATTGGCCCAAAGACCTTTTGAAAATTCTTACTGAAGTTGATTTTAACTCACATAGATTCCTAAAAGAAAAATCATTAAGTGATAATCATCAGTACATATGTTTTACAGATATATCACATTAGTTTAAAGAAACTAAAATTCTAAAAGACAACCTTCTTTACAAAAATGATTGCCAGGAAACTTGTATATTCACACATGCACAATGTTTACAAGGTATGATGTTTCTGCATGACATAATTTTTTTCATAAATATTCTGTTTATAACCATAAGATTAAGAAACAAAGTTAAGATGTACAGCTCATCAATGATGTCATGACATTCATGGAACCTCTCTGTAAACCAAAAGCATAAAATGTCAAGGATATCCCACTCCAATGATAAGCATGCAATGAACTAAATAGATGCACATTGCAGATCTACACTGTCATCAATCCTCTGATAATAAATGAAACAAGTCAGCTACTTTACACACAAATCGTACATTAAATAGATGACAACATCTTTTTTTGCAGAAGAAGGTAATTAGCAGTAGATAAAATTCAGTTATATTATTTAAGAATGTACAGCTTGAATTCAAGGCTGAATACAGATAACCTCTAAGATATAAGCTGTCTCAAAAAAAAAATGCCTCATCCTGCAGAGTATTGTTTAAGAGCAATACAGTTAGAACATGAGCATACTTCAACCAATTGAAGTTTGTTGAAAAAGGGTAAAGACTAGCAGACATAAGAAAAAATATACGTTTGCTCTCTTAAAATTGACTCTGATGTAGAAGAGATGAACAAATATATTTTCTCTGCTAAAATTTTAAGTAACAACAATATTTATTTGGAAATATTTCTTGTTTTATTTAGAAATTTTATTATAACACCTTAAAATACTACACAATATTGCAAATCTCATAGCACAATGATTAAAATGAAAAACTATATTAGACAAAACATAAAATTAAATAGCTTAGAATAAAGCTGCAATGTATTCGAGGATTAGATCCTATTCACACGGTCTTTAGAAATCTAATAAAATTTGAACCAAATTCATAGATTAGTAATTGGGAAACAGATTACCTGGATCTGGATCCAAGTTGTAACTCTAGGTTATTTCTACTTCATGCTATTTTCAAACTTATAAAATGAGGGATAATATCAGTACTATCTCAGAGGTTTGTTGTAAGAATTAGTTGCTACTTATATATACCTCTAATAGCTACTGAAATAGCATAAGGATTCATGAAATATTAGCTACTGTTGGCACCATCATTCCTCACCGAAACTGAAAATATATATACTTTTCAGATCAAATCAATTTAATCTCTTTCACAACAGAGTTTTAGAAACATTTCTTCAATTTTCAATTCCACATTTCCACCTTCCTCGTTCTCTCTCATTCATACACCAATTCCACGTTTACTCCATCATTCTCTCTCATTCACACACAAAAGAACACACACTACCCACCACCACAATCACTAAATTTCAAATTTAAAAAAAGTGCAATCTTAACCCATAGTTACAACAAAGAAAGCATCTCCATAATTAATTAGAAAGTACACTAAGAAATAGATTCCAGGTTAGGATGGTAGGCTGATATTGCAATTACATATTTTTTCCTTCCTCATTTCCTAAAAACAAATTAGCAAAAAATAAATAAATAACAAAAAATAATTTTTAAAAATAATGAAACAATGTAAGGAATGTACCATAAATCACCAAACATTAAAAAATTGGTTGCCAAGGGGAACAAAAACAAACTGGTTCTAGAACTGAGGGAGCAACAAAGCTTAGTTCTTAATCATGTCCCCATGCCCCCAAAGCAATATTGGTAAGTTGACAAAATTCTGATAATTTTCTTAACGCCTTCAAATACAGAGAGAAACAAACTGAGTAGGTAACGTTACCTCTTTCCTCTTCTACCTGGAGATGCCAGAAAAACTTACAGAACAAATACTGGTGAAGCAAGAAATTGAAAAATGCGGCTGATTCACTAAAACAGAAGTAAACTCGACTCTACTCTCTTAAATGACTGAGGGAAATGATTCAAAGCCTAAGCACATCTTCCCATGAGAACTGTCTATAGTCTAATGAGATAGAATGAACTTGGTAGAAAATATTTAACAAAATCTTAGAAAAAAATGAGGATTTCTAAGAAAGACTCCTCACCTATTTCAAATAAGCTCTTCCTCTTCATGATAGGCCATAGGATATTCTACAAAAATCAAACTGTAGCTCAGGAGAGGGAAATATTAGCTTTACACAGAGAATGGAGAGGGAAATAAGTCACTAAGATATCCTGTTGTCTAAGCCAACAGAATATCTGCACAGAGCATTCTAAGAATGAACACAATGGAACAAAAAAGTATGGTAGTTATACAAACATATAGCACCAATCAATCAACAAATAAGTTAATACATAAATTTAAAATAAAACGTTAATATAGAAAAGACAAAACATCTGATGAAAAAGTATCTCAAGGAGTAAAAGAAAATTATTCATGATTATTTTTTCTAATGAACAACATAACAAAAACATAATGCAAATAAGATAAAACTCAAAATAAAGTGACTAAGGAAAGAGGCTGAAGTCCTAAATAAACAAAATTAGGAACAAAACATAAGCTTTATAGACATAATAAATAAATTACAAATAAATATCCCGGACAAAATAAAACATTAAAAATGTACTTACTGGTGGAAAAATAAGGCTAAGGATCAAAGAAAGTCAAGCAACTAAGGAATAACTAATAGATGTGAAAGACAAACATATATCTAACATATTATTAAGTGTTACTAAGCAAGAAAAAACAAAATAAAGTGAAAGTGGTATTTCAAAGTATAATCTAAAAAATTTTCTAAGAACTGAAGGAAAAATCAGAATCTGCTGATTATAACAAGAAACTATGTCCCAGGATAATTTGATAAATAATGTTCAATACTGAACCATATTCCTCTTAAAGAATTTTTTGGACAAAGAAATCACAGGCAGAAGACACAAAAAGCAAATCAGAAATTAAGGGAAAATATCAGACTGTCCTCTGAAAGCAACATTCAAAGTCAGAAGATAACAAAGCAATGTCTGCAAAGTTCTAAGGGAATTTAAGTGTTACCCAACAATATTAAGTCAAGCAAGGCAGTCATGGCACAGAAAGAGGGAGATGTTAGAGATTACAATTTGACTGAGGAACAGAAGGCGATCAAGGCCAACTATCCTCCAGTTAATAGGAATTATGAGTATTTGGATCATACAGCAGATGTCCAGTTACACACATGGGGAGATACTCTGGAGGAAGCATTTGAGCAATGTGCAATGGCCATATTTGGTTACATGATAGATACCAGGACTGTGGAGCCTCTCCAAACAATAGAAGTAGAAACCCAAGAAGTTTCTACTTTTCTTTTTCACTTTTTAGATGAGTGGCTTTATAAGTCCAATGCTGATGAATTCTTCATACCCTGGGAAGTGAAAGTACTTTGTATTGATCAAAGACATTTCCAATTACAATCAATTGGGTGGAGAGAAGAATTTTCATTGTCCAATCACCCTCAGGGAACCGAAGTCAAAGTTATAACATATTCAGCAATGCAGGTCTATAATAAAGAAAACCCAGAAGTTTTTGTGATCATTGACATTTAAGACCAAAAAAGAAAAGACTCCTAAGAAGAACTGGGTTTTTTTTTTTTCCTCTTCCTTTTGGGAAGACAATGTGAATTAAATTCTATAGTATCTTATGAAATACAGAAATTGTAGAACAAAAACTTATAACTTTATTTATTTACTTATTTTTCCTGAGACAGAGTATTGCTCTGTCCCCCAGGCTGGAGTGCAGTGGCACGATCTTGGCTCACTGCAGCCTCTGCCTTCCAGATTCAAGCGATTCCCATTACTCAGCCTCCCGAGTAGCTGGGACTACAGGCATGTGCTACCTCACGCCTGGCTAATTTTCGTATTTTTGGTAGAGATGGGGTTTCATCTTGTTGGCCAGGCTGGTCGCGAACTCCTGACCTCAAGTGATCCGCCCACCTTGGCCTCCCAAAGTGCTGGAATTATAGGTGTGAGCCACCACGACCAGCCAGAAATTTACAACTTGAACTGTGACTTTCCAAAATGGAAAATTAGGGCATGTCCTTGGTCTGTGTTCCCCAAATAGTCAATCTTTAAAGAATTCTTCAATTCCTACGGGGCAGTTATGGTCCTTCATTTGTTGATCATCTGCTGTGGCAGCAAGTGCCTCATGCCCTTCCATTGCAATGCAAGCCTTCCACCCTCCCCTCAGAACAGAATGCTGATGTCAGCAGCAGCCTGGTGCTAAATCCAATTTGGAAAAAAAAATAATTTGAGAAAATATATTTCCACACCCAGAAAAAAATATATAAAGTTAAGCAGAATGCCATTCAAATATAAAGATAGCAGGCAAATATTCTTAAACATGGAAGAACTTTAAGTTTACAACACATATAAGCCCCTTGTGGAAAAAGAATAACCATGAAATGCAGCCAATTAAGAACTGAGTCAAAAGAAAGAATCTGGAAATTAAGTTCCAACTAATAAAGTTGGGGAAAATGAAGAGTGAGTATTGAATTCACTTAAATAAAGAACAAATACTCAAGTACTATAAGAAATGTGATTATAAACATGAATGTTATAAATTTAGACAATATGAAAATTAAAATATAACTAAAAATTAGGAGGTGAGGGGAGAGAAAATAAAAGGAACATACAAGTGACTAATATCCTCAGCCTCCATAAGAGAGTGTGAATTGACATATGTAACATAAAAATCAACATCAGAGGAGGGCAGAGCACGATGGCAGAATAGAGGCCTATCCCGTTTGTCCACCCTGCTGCAACACCAAATTTTAACAACTATCTGCACATAGCAAAGCACCATCACTAGAACCAAAAATCAGGTGAGCGATCACAGTACTTGTTTTTAACTTCATATCATGGAAAGAGGCATTGAGGGGGGCAGGAGAGACAGACTTGAATCACTGATGCCACCTCTGCCCCATCGCCCAGCAGTGGCCATGCACTGCAGACAGAAACTGCACTTTGGGGAAGGAGAGCTCAACGACTGGAGAACTTTACATTGGTCTCAGTGCTGCCCTGTCAGAGCAAAGAATAAAGCTATGCTGGGCTCCTTCCATAGAGGGAGCATGAGGACCAGCCCTAGCCAGAGGGGAATGACATATCCCAGGGGACAGAACATGAGTTTCTTGGCAAGCCTCGCCACGCAGGCTAAAGTACACTGGGTTCCTAGATAAACTTGAAAGGAAGTCTAGGACACAAGGACGGCAATTTCTAGGCTCCTCCTAGTGCTGGGTTGGGCTCAGGGCCAGTGAACTAGGGTGGCACATGACCTAGAGACACACCAGCTTGCGTGGCTAAGGAAGTGCTTGCATTAGCCGTGCCCTAACCCCAGGGAGTGAAGCTCATAGCAATGAAAGTTACTCCTTGCTTCTGCTTAATGAGAGGAGAGCAAAGAGTAAAGAGGACTTTGACTTGCATTTTGGATACCAGCTCAGCCACAGTAGGATAGGGCACCAGGCAGAGTCATGAGGCCCCGTTCCAGGCCTTAGCTCTCAGATGATATTTCATTTCTAGACACAACCTGGACCAAAAGTGAACCCAGTGCCTTGAAGGTAAGGATCCAGTCCTGGTAGGATTCATCACCTGCAGATTAAAGAACTCTTGGGCCCTGAATAACCAGCAGTGATAACGAAGGGAATATACCATGTGTCTTGGGCTTTGAGACTTACTAGCTTCAGGGGTGACCCAGCATATTCCCAGCTATGGTGCCTACAGTGAAATACTACTAATGTTTCAGAAAAGCAGAGGGAAAAATAAAGGGAACTTTGTCTTGCATCCTATGTACCAGCTCGGCTACATGGGGGTAGAGCAATAAGCTGGCTCTTGGGGTCCCAAAGTCCAGGCTTAGGCTCTTGGACAGCATTTCCAGATGTGCTTTGGGACAGAGGGGAGCTCACTGACCTAAAGAGCGAGTCTCAGGCCTGGCAGCATTCATCACAAGCTGACAGAAGAGCCCCTAGGCTCTCAGTAAACATCAGTGGTGGCCTGAAGGAATCCCCTGTGGACCGGTGGTGGGGGTGGCCACAGGGAAAGGCAGCTCTGCCTGTGGAAAGTGAAGAGTAGGAAAGACTTTGTATTGTGGTTTGAGTGCAGGCATAATGACAGTAGAATAGAATATCAGGAAAATTGCTAAGCTGTTTAACTCCAGTCCCTGGCTCCCAGACAGCACTTTGGACATTCCCGGAGCCTGTGGGAACTCACGGCCCTGAAGGGAAGAAACTGGGGCAAGACCTAGTGCTGTGCAGGTTTCAGGTCTAACCCAGTGCAGCCCTAGTGGTGGTGGCCACAGACTTACTTGCATCACCACACCCCCAGTTGCAGGTGGCTCAGCAAAGAGAGACAGACCCTGTTTGTATGGGAGAAAGGGAAAAGAACAAGAGCCTCTGGCTGGTAATCCAGATAATTCTTCCACATCTTATCTAAGACCACCAAAATGGTACCTCTACGAGTCAGCAAAAAACACAGCCTTATTGGGGTTGGGGTCCAAGTCCTTTCAAATACCTGGAAAGCCTTCCCAAGGACAACAGTCACAAACAAGCCCAGACTGTGAAGACTACAATAAATACCTAACTCTTCAATGCTCATACACTGAAGAACATTAGCAAGTATAAACATCATCCATGAAAACATGACCTCACCAATGAACTAAATAAGGCACCAGGAACCAATTCTGACGAAACAGAGACATATGACAACTAAGATAGTTAATTCAAAATAGCTGTTTTGAGGCAACTCAAAGAAATTCAAGATAACACAGAGAAGAAATTCAGAATTTTATCAGATAAATTTAACAAAAGGATTAAATTTTTTTTTTAAATCAAGCAGAATGAGTAGGGAGGTGGAGTTTACAGTGAGTTGATATCCCACCACTGCACTGCAGCCTGGGTGATAGAGCCAGACCCTGTCTCAAAAAATAAAATAAAATAAATTTAAATATATGTATATATATACATATATATATGTATATATATACACACACACACACACACATACATATAGCAGAAATTCTATAATTGAAAAATGCAATAACATGCTGAAGAATGCATCAGAGTCATCAGAGTCTCTTAATAGCAGAACTGATCAAGAAGGAAGTAGTGAGCTTGAAGACAGGCTATTTGAAAATACATAGAGGAGAGAAAAAGGAATAAGAAAAAATGAAGCATGCCTACAAAATCAGAAAACAGCTTCAAAGGGGCAAATCTAAGAGTTAATAGCTTTAAAGAAGAGGTAGATAAAAAGAGAGGGGTAGAAAGTCTATTCAAAAGAATAATCAGAGAACTTTCCCAACCTTGAGAAAGATATCAAATTCAAGTAAAAGAAGCTTATAGAACAGCAAGCAGAAAGAAGATTACCTCTGGGCATCTAATAATCTAAAGGTCAAGAATAAAGAAAGGATCCTAAATGCAGCAAGAGAAAAGAAATCACATACAATGGTGCTTCAATACATCTGGCAGCAGACTTTTCAGCGGAAACCTTACAGGCCACAAGAGTGGCAAGACATATTTAAAGTGCTGAAAGAAAAACACTTTTACTCTAGAATAGTATATCCAGTGAAAATATCCTTTAAGCATGAAGGAGATAAAAAGACTTTCCCAGTCAAACAAACGCTAAAGGATTTCATCAACACCAGGCGTGTCCTAAAAGAAATGCTAAAGGGAGCTCTACAATCTGAAAGACAAGGATGTTCATGAGCAAGAAGAAACCATCTGAAGGTACAAATCTCACTGGTAATAGTAAGCACACAGAAAAGCACAGGATAGTATTACATTGTAATTGGAGTGTATAAATAAACCAAGTAGAAAGACTAAATAATGAACCAATGAATAATAACTACAAAAACTTTTCCAGACATAGATAGTACAGTGAGATAAAAAGAAAAACAACAGAAAGTTTAAAACTAGAGAGACAAAGTTACAGCATAGAGTTTTTATTAGGTTCCTTTTTGTGTGTTTGTTTCTTTATGCAATCAGTGTGAAGTGAAGTTGCCATTAGTTTTACATAACAGGTTATAAGATTGTGTTGGCAAGCCTTGTAATAACCTCAAACTGAAACAAATAAAATGGGTACACAAAATATAAAAAGCAAGAAATTAAATCATACCACCAGAGAAAACCACCTTCACTACAAGGAAGACAAGGAAAGAAAAAAGGAAGAGAAGTCTGCAAAACAACCAGAAAGCAAATAACAAAATGGCAGTAGTAAGTCTCTACTTATCAATAATAACATTAAATGTAAATGGACTAAACTCTCCAATCAAAAGAAATAAAGTGGCTGAATGAATTAAAAAACAAGACCTAATGATCTGTTGCTTGTAAGAAACACACTTCACCTATAAAGTTACACATAGACTGAAGATAAAGAGACGAAAACAGATATTCCAAGTCAGTGAAACAAAACAGAGCAGGAGTAGTTACATTTAATCAGATAAAATAGATTTCAAGACAAAAATTGTAAAAAGAGACAAAGACGGTCATTATATAGTGATAAAGGGGTCAATCCAGCAAGAGGATATAACGATTGTAAATAAATATGCACTGTATTAGTCCGTTTTCACACTGCTATAAAGAACTACCCAAGACTGGGTAATTTATAAAGGAAAGAGGTTTAATTGACTCACAGATCCATGTGGTTGGGAGGCCTCAGGAAACTTACAATCATGGTCGAAGGGGAAACTGGCACCTTCTTCACAAGTTGGCAGGAAAGAGAAGAGTGAAGGAGGAATTTCCAAACACTTATAAAATCATCAGATCTCATGAGAACTCACTATTACGAGAACATCATGGAAGAAACTGCCCCCCAGTGATCCAATCACTTGCCTCCCTTGACACATGGGGATCATAGGTCCCTCCCTCAACACGTGGGGATTACAATTCAAGATGAGATTTGGATGGGGACACAGAGCCAAACCATATCATGCACCCAACACTGGAGCAACTAAATATATAAGGAAAATATTATGAGAACTAATGAGAGAGATAGACTCCAATACAATAATAGCTAGACACATCAAAATATCCCACTTTCAGCATTGGGCAGATCTCACGGACAAAAAAAAAAAAATCAAAAAAGAAACAGCAGACTTCATCTGTACTACAGAACAAGTGGATCTAAAGTTATTTACAGAACATTTCGTTGTTTTTTTTTTTTTTTTTTTTTTTGAGATGGAGTCTTGCTCTGTCACCCAGGCTGGAGTGCAGTGGCATGATTCTCAGCTCACCGCAACCTCCATCTTCCACGTTCAAGCAATTCTCCTACCTCAGCCTCCTGAGCAGCTGGGATTACAGGTGCATGCCACCACACTCAGCTAATTTTTGTATTTTTAGTAGAGACGGGGTTTCGCCATGTTGGCCAGGCTGGTCTCAAACTCCTGACCTCAGGTGATCCACCTGCCTCAGCCTCCCAAAGTGCTGGGATTACAGGTGTGACCCACCACGCCCAGCCAGATATTTACAGAACATTGCATCCAGTAGCTACAGAATACACATTCTTCTCCTCAGCACATGGGTCATTCTCAGGAACAGACCATACGTTAGGTCACAAAACAAGTCTTAAAACACTCAAAAAACCTGAAATATCAAGCATCTTCTCTGACCACAATGAAATATAACTACAAATCAATAATAACAGGAATATTAAAAACTATACAAATATATTGAAATTAAACAATATGTTCCTGAATCACCAGTGTAATGATGAAGAAATTAAGAATAAAATTGAAAAACTTCTTCAAACAAATGATAATAAAAACACAACATACTAAAGCATACAGGATACAGCAAAAGCACTATTAAGAAGAGAATTTATAGCTATAAATGCCCGTGTCAAAAAAAAAGAAAATCTTCAAATAAATAACCTAATAATGCATCTTAAAGAACTAGAAAAGTAACAGTAAACTGAACTCAAAATTAGTAGAAGAAAAGAAATACTTAAGTTCAGAGCAGAAATAAATGAATTTGAAATGAAGAAAACAATACAGAAGAGTGATTAAACAAAAAGTTGGCTTCTTGAAAAGATAAACAAAATTGGCAACCTTTTAGTGAGACTAAGAAAAAGAGAAGATCCAAACAAATGATATCAGATATGAAAAGGGAGACATTACAACTGATACGGTAGAAATTCAAAGGATCATTAGTGGCTACTATGAGCAACTATATGTCAATAAATTTGGAAAATCTAGAAGAAATGGATCAATTCCTAGATACATAAACCTACCAAGATTGAACCATTAAGAAATCTAAAACCTAACAGACCAATAACAAGTGACAAGAGTGAAGCCTTAATAAAAAGTATCCCAGTAAAGAAAAGCCTGGGGCCAGATGGCTTCACTGAATTCTACCAAACATTTTAAGAACTAATACCAATCCTACTCTAAGTATTCCAAAAAATAGAGGAGGGAAGAATTCCACACTAATTCTACAAGGCCAATATTACCCTGATACCAAAATCAAAGACATATTAAAAAAAGAAAACTATAGGCCAATCTCACTGGTGAATATTGATGCAAAAATCCTCAAGAAAATACTAGCAAGCTGAATTTAAAAATACATTAAAAAGGTCATTAATCATGACCAAGTGGGATTTATCCTAGGGGTGGAAGGATGGTTCAATGTATGCAAATCAATCAATCAATGTGATACATGATATCAACAGAATGAAGGATAAAAAAATGATCATTTCAATTGATGCTGAAAAAGCATCTGATAAAGTACAACATCCGTTCATGATAAAAACCCTCAAAAAAAAAAAACGTGATACAAATGGAATATGCCTTAACATAATAAGCCATATATGACAGACCCACAACCAGTATCATACTGAATGGAGAAAACTGAAAGCATTTCCTCTAAGATCTGGAACATGACAAGAACATGTACTTTCACCACTATTATTCAACATAGAACTGGAAGCCTTAGCTAGAGTAATCCAACAAGAGAAGGAGATAAAGAGCATTTAAATTGGAAAGGAGTAAGTCAAATTATCTTTATTTGCAGATGATGTGATCTTATTTTTAGAAAAACCTAGAATCCACCAAAAAACTATAAGAACTGATAAACAAATTCAGTAAAGTTGCAGTATACAAAAACCAACATACAAAAATGAGTAGTGGCCAGACATGATGGCTCATGTCTATAATCCCAGCACTTTGTGAAGATAAGGAGGTGGACTGCTTGAGCCCAGGAGTTCGAGACCAGCTGGGCAACATGGTAAAACCCTGCCTCTATAAAAAACACAAAAATTAGCCGGACATAGTGGCACATGCCTGTAGTGACAGCTACTCAGGATACTGAGGTGGGCAGACTGAGCCCAGAAGCTCAAGGCTGCAGTGAGCCATGACTGTCACTGCAACCCAGCCTGGGTGACAAAGTGAGATCCCATCTCAAGCAATCAATCAATATCAGTAGCATATCTATATGCCAACAGTGAACAATCTGAACATGAATTCAAAAAAGTAATCCCATTTACAATAGAAACATACAAAATTAAATACCTAGAAATAAATTTTACAAAAGTGGTGAAAGATCTCTATAATAAAAACTATAAATCACTGATAAAAGAAATTGAAGAGAATATAAAAAAATGGAAGGATATTCTATGTTTATGGATTGGAAAATCAATACTGTTAAAATATCCATATTAAACAAAGTAATCTACAGATTCAATGCAATCTCTATCAAAATACTAATGACATTCTTCAAAGAAATAAAACAAAACCCTAAAATTTATGTGGAATCACAAGAGACTCAAAATAGCCAAAGCTATCCTGAGCAAAAAGAATAAAACTGGAGGAATCAGATTATCTGACTTCAAATTATATTACTGAGTTATAGTAACCAAAACAGAATGGTATTAGAATAAAAACAGACACATAAACCAATGGAACAAAAAGAGGACCCAGAAACAAATCCACACAGCTACAGGAAATGAATTTTCAACAAAGGTGCCAAGAACAAACATTGGAGAAAAGACACTCTCTTCAATATATGGCACTGGGAAAGCTAGTTATCCATATGCAGAAGAATGAACCTTGATCCCTACACCTCACACCTTATGTAAAAATCAAATCAAAATAGATTAAAGACTTAAATCTAAGACTTCAAACTGTGAAACTACTACAAAAAAAACTGAGGAAACTCTCCAGGACATTGGTCTGAGCAAAAATTTCTTCAGTAATACCCCATAGTCACAAGCAACCAAAGCAAAAATGAATAAATGGGATGATATCAAGTTAAAAAGCTACTGCAGAGCAAAGGAAACAGTCAACAAAGTGAAGAGACAACCCATAGAATGGAAGAAAATATTTGCAAAGCTACCCATCTGACAAGAGATTAATAAGCAGAATATGTAAATAACTCAAACAACTGTATAGGAAAAAGTAATAATCCAATTTAAAAATGGGCAAAATATTTGAATAGACGTTTCTCAACAGAAGACATATAAATGGCAAACAGGCACATGAAAAGGTGTTCAGGCCGGGTGCAGTGGCTCATGTCTGTAATGCCAGAACTTTGGGAGGCCAAAGCAGGCAGATCAATTGAGGCCAGGAGTTTGGGACCAGCCTGGCCAACATGGTAAAATCCCATCTCTACTAAAAATACAAAAATTAGCTAGGCATGATGGCACAGGCCTTTAATCCCAGCTACTTGGGTGGCTGAGCCATGAGAATCCCCTGAACCAGGGAGGTGGAGGTTGCAGTGAGCCAAGATCGCATCACTGCACTCCAGCCTGCGTGACAGAGTGAGGCTCTGAAAAAAAAAAAAAAAAAGAAAGAAAAGAAAAGAGAAAAGAAAGAAAAAGTGTTCAAGGGCCAGGCACTGTGACTCACACCTGTAATCTCAGCACTTTGGGAGGCTGATGAAGGCAGATCACTTGAGGCCAGGAGTTCAAGACCAGCCTGACCAACACAGCGAAACCCCATCTCTACTACAAATAGAAAAATTAGCCGGGTGTGGTGGCACAGGCCTGTAATCCCAGCTACTTGGGTGGCTGAGTCATGAGAATCGCCTGAACCAGGGCAGTGGAGGTTGCAGTGAGCCAAGATCATGTCACTGTACTTCAGCCTGGGCAACATAGCAAGACTCTGTCTCAAAAAACAAAACAAAACAAAAGATGCTCAAAATCATTGATCATCACAGAAATGCAAATCAAAAGTACCATGAGATATCATCTCACTCGAGTTAAAATGGCTTGTATCCAAAAGTCAGGTAATAACAAACGCTGTCGAGGATGTGGAGAAAAAGGAACCCACATACACTATTGGTGGAGTGTAAATTAGTAAAAACCACCATGAGAACAGTCTGGAGGTCCCTCAGAAAACTAAAATAGAGCTACCGTATGATCCAGCAATCCCACTGCTAGGTATATATCCAAAAGAAAGGAAATCAGTATATTGAAGATATATCTGTACTCTCATGTTTGTTGCAGCACTGTTTACAATGGCTAAGATTTAGAAGCAACCTATATGTCCAGCAAAAGATGAATGGATAAAGAAAATGTGGTACTTACACACAATGGAGTACTAGTCAGCCATAAAAAGGAATGAGATTCTTTCCCATTTGCAACAACATGGATGAAAATGGAGATCATTATGTTAAGTGAAATAAGCTATGCGCAGAAAGACAAACATCGCATGTTCTCACTTATTTGTGGGATCTAAAAATCAAAACAATTGAACTTGTTCAGTTGAACTCTGAACAATTGAACTCTGAGTTCAAAACAGTTTTACTCAGAGAGACAGTAGAAGGATGGTTACCAGAGGCTAGGAAGGGTAGTGAGGGTGTCACGGGTAGGTGACGATGATCTATAGGTATAAAAAAAACAGAACAAATGAGTAAGATCTAATATTTGATAGCACAACAGGAGACAATAGTCAATAATAATTTAATTGTGCATTTTAAAGCAACTAAAATGGTGTATCTGGATTGTTTGTAACCCAAAGGATAAATACTTGAAGAGATGGATACCCAATATTCCATGATGTGATTATTATGCACTGCATTCCTGTACCAAAATATCTCATGTACTACATAAATATATATACCTACTATGTACCCACAAATATTACAACGAAAAGAAATAATAAAAAATCAATGACATAATTACACTGAAAATAATTAACTAAAATGGCTTGGTGGAATTCTATGTCAAAACTCATGTTTAAAAACTGAAGCCATCAACCTCTTAATTTTTTCATAATTTATTAACCTTCTATTCTTTCAGAAAATAATTTTCCTTTACTTAAAGAAACATTTCCTTGTTTTTTCCATAATTATTATTTTGCTAAATTTTATACAATACTGCAATAAATAGCCATGTATACCTATCTTTAAATACTATTATTTTTAATTCCTAACAGATATATTCACAAAAATAGGATTACTCGGTAAATGGGTATTTGCATGTTTGTGAGTGTCAATGTAATTTTTTAATAGCTATGACTATACTGCTTTCCCTTAAGACTAAAAATGTACTTTCTGTTAACAATACAAAAGAACAGCATTGCCCATTTCATCTCTCTTATTCACTTCAACAGTACGTTATCATTCTTTTTACTGTCTCTCAACCGAAGAACGGAAAATTGATAGATAATAATTTATCTAATTTACATAGGAATCCTTTTCATATGTTTACTGGTCACTTTTAGGTTCTTTTGTGAATTTCTTATTGATATCATCTGAGTTTCTGTCTATTGGGTTGTTTTTCTTATAAGAATTATTAGTACAGTGAATATATTAATCATTTATCAGTCATAGGCATTATGTTTTTCCAAGTTGTTGATGGTATCTTTCCTCCACTTAATGTTATAGGTAGTAATAGATGTCTACTTTTTTATTTCTACTTTCTAAATATCCTACATTTTGGTTATCAAATTCACACATATGCCCAAGTTCTACTTTTACAGTTTTCCAAATATGTTTCTGAAGTATTTATCATGTCATCTTCCTCCCTATTGCTTATTTCATCTGGAAGAATTTTAATATATGCTGTCTTTTTAGTGATGTTTTAATTTCTGGAGAGGCAAGTATATCCCATTACTTTTTCACAAATTGTAGGACTACATTAAAGCATTTATTTTCCCACATTAACTGAATATTTAAATATCCAAATATAATAGTTGTGTCTTAAATTTGTTATAAAGAATATTTAAATGTCAAATCAACTCTACTGTTATTTTAATGGAGTGCTTTACTAATGGATATTGCACTGAGTTTACATACTGACTTGAGAAAAATGAACATTTTTGTGACGTAAAATTTTCTCTCTTTGGCTATAAAAGACAGTGTGGAGTCTTTTTTCCAGTTGGAAAACTGGAAAAATACAAGTAATGTTGGTATATTAAGTAACAGCATCCTGCCAATGTTAATTTTCTGATTTTGATAACTGTACCAGATTAAGACAGAGAATGTGCTTAGGAAATTTCCACTGAAGTATTTTGAGGTAGAAGGGAATCCTGACTTTAACTTACTCTCAAAATTCAGAAAAACAAAGCATAAAGAGAAAGAGAATAAATGTCGTAAAAATTTAACAATCACAAGATCTGGGAGAACAGTGAATAGGAGTTCCTGCTTTATTCTTACAACTTTCCTGAAAGCCTCAAATTATTTCAAAACAAAAGACTGATTCTGTCTCTCTCTCTCTCTCTCTCTCACACACACACACACACACACACCTCAAGACCCCAAGACAGACTATCCAGCATGGAATTAGTTTATATTTTATCTTATTTGCTTTAATAAAATTTTGTAGCTTCATTCCAAAGAGCATGTGTACTTTTCTTGCAGAATTTGGCCCAAAACATTGTTTTTGTCATATTTATGAATACACTGTATTTCTGATTTCCATTCTTAGCTGGTTACTGACTGTCAAAGAAAAGCTATTAATTTTTTGCATAACTATCTCATACCTAATAACCTCACCAAATTCTCTTATTAACTCTGGTAGAAAAATGTTCAAGATCCAGGTACACCTCAGGACACAGGAATTAGATTTTCCTAGACCACAGCATTAGAAATTTGAAAGTAATCTTCTTTCTTTCTTTACTAGCATTTATATTAGCTGTATCTTGCACTTGCAAGAACATCAAAAAATATGTTAACAACAGTGACAGTAGGTATCACTCATTTTTCCTGATTTTAAAAGAGATGACTTTAATCATTTAAAATGATATTTAATAGTCTTTACCATATTTGTATTGTTTTCTTATATAAATCTTTTTCTGTGAGTTTTAATACGGCTGGCAGCTAACAATCATCATATGCTTTTTTTCTACCTTTACTGATATCTTCGTGTTTTTTCTATTTTTAATTTGTTGATATAATTTATTTTGCAGGTAGATATCCTAAAGTAAACAATTTTGTAATTCCAGTAAAAATTTTCAGTCATCATACTATATAATTCATTCTTTATATTGATGAATTATGTTATTTAAAGTTATAGTTTAAATTTTGTACTTATATTCTTAAGTGAAATTGGTCTTCTAGAGTTTTATTTTTCTAGAATAATTTTCAGATTTGCTGGTTGTATAAAATTCACTTGGAAGATTTTTCATCTTTTCTAATGTACCAGAAAAATGTCAGCAACATATGAGTTTATCTGTTCTTGATATGTTAGAAGCCATACAGTGCTTTTAAATATTTTTCCAATTCTATAGCAAATGTACTACTTGTCAAATTTTCTAGTTCACCTTAGGTGAATTTGGGTCATTTCTATAGCTACAAAACCATTAATTTCCTCTAGAAATTTGTATTTCTTATACATGTTCAGGCACAACTACTGAGATAAGCAATGGTCCCAGGATGAGTTTATCACTTAGTCCTCTCCTATGAGAATCCAAGGAGAGAGGTGTGTGCTCCCTCATTTCCTCAGCTACAAATACTGTTACGCTCTCAAACCCTAAAGACAGAGAAATTTCACACCCCTGTGTTCAGCTCCTCTCTAGAAACCTGGATGATCTTACCTTTGCCATAGAGATTTTCATTTCTGGCTAACTAGCTCTGTTTTGTCCAGAAAGGGCCAACTCCTTCACCAGTTTTCTTTATAGGAAAACCATCAGAGCCAAGATTTACCTCTGATTATTAAGATTAGAGCAGCCAAACAAGAAGCTTCTCTGATCAAGCTTCTGTGGTAGCTCAACTACAATTGAGACAAGAGGGCTAAAGAGACATGTACTATCTCCCAGAACCCCCATGACTCTCCTATAAACCTAGATTTTAATTTTTTGATGACATATACTATGTTTCTTTGGACCTGCCATTTTACCGGGACAATTTCTCATGATTATCATTAAAAAACGGTAACTTCCGCACACCAACCATATGTGTAACCTACCTCAAATTCCGCATGTCTGTGAATATCTTCTGCTCTCTGCCTGCTCAGGATAAATTCAGCTTCATTTGCTACTCTTACTAGATGATCCTTCATTGTCTGGCTAAGCAACCTGTAAGAAATGAATGTTATCAAATAAATATATGTATACACACACAACATAAATGATTATTCACTGCTTACGGTGGAGAGGAAGGAATACTTACTTTCTTCTTTTGACATCATACACAATGAGGTACCATTATTTCATGCTAAATAATTGAGGAATGTAACAACAGCAAAAGGTTACCCTTCTGGCAATAGCAGATTAGCTTCTATCAGACTAGCCATGTAACAAAAGCAACTAAAAATACTGGATTAAAGTTGTGTTTTAATCTTTTAAAATGCACTGGAAAGTTACCAAGGCAGCCAAAATTAACCAGTGAAGATCACAGAGAAGAAAGCACACAAAGGACAATCAGTGTGACTTTTTACATTAAGGCATTTGCTATTCCCAAGTGAGAACAGAAAAGCTACACAGACCTGTCACTAGTCTCACAAAGATAAATAGAAAAAAATTGAGGTTCACAGTCTGTCAAGGTGGAGGAGTCCCGGTAGACTACCCAAGAGTTACAGCAGGAATCAAGTGTACCCCAGAAAGCAAGAAATAGACCAGGCCTCAAAACACTGAAACAGACCTTCAGAGATTTGGTGATTGGTATTTAGGTTAACTGGCAGCCAAAAAGCTAAGCAAAGCTTTCAGGGTGGGGAGAAAAAAATCAGAAATACCAATGCAGGAGGGCCATGGCAAAACCCCAGGTTTTCAGAGTACCTCAGAAGGGCTACACACTAGGAGAAGGCAAACAAAATAGGCCAAACTCTCACAAGAACTTAAAAATAAAAACCCAGCCTTGAGTCAGCTCAGACCCTAAATTAATACAATCGGCCATTAGTCTAACTGCTAATCAGAAACCAAAAGGAAGTCCTTTCTAAAGGAAGATAATATCATAGAGACTTAAATTTACCCTTGCCATTTTAAAATACAATTTTCAGCATTCAGTCACCAATTAATAGGCACAAGAGACAATATCATACGAATGGAAACTAAATAGAAACTGGCTCACATCTGGACATTGAAATAAATATAGTTAATATGTTTAGAACTAATTGTGTAACAGAGAATTCCAGTAAAGAATGAAAACTGTAGAAGAACTGAAAAAAAATAAATAAATATAAAAATAGATTTACTGGGTTATTAAGCTCAGCCAAAAAAGGAAAAATTTACTGAAAGATAGGTCAATGACAACTAGACTGAAACATAGTAAGAAAAATTAATGAAAATTGAACAAAATAAATAACAGACATATAGGACATGGTAAAAGAATCTAATGTAAGTGTATCTGTAGTATAAGAAAGAGTAGATACATAATTAGAAAAAAGCAATATTTGAAGAGATAATGGCCAAGATTTTTCAAAACTGGGAAAAAACACTGAGCCATATGTTGATGGAGTGCTACAAAACCCAAGCAGGGTTTTTAAGGATACCCTGCTTAGGCAGTAATAGTAAAACTATCAAAGAAAAAAATTCTTAATAGCAGACAGCGGGAGAGGCCTTCAAAAGAGCAACAATAAGCCTAATGGAAGCCAGATAAGAATGCAATGACCTATTTGAAATACTAAACAAAAATACTACCTAAAAGGCCAGGCCAGTGGCTCACACCTGTAATCCCAGCACTTTGGGAGGTCCGGGCGAGAGGATCACATGAGGCCAGTAGTTCAAGACCAGCCTTGGCAATGTAGTGAGATCCCATCTCTACCAAGAAAGTTTTTTTTAATTAGCGAGGCATGGTAGTGCATGCCTATGGTCCCAGCTACTCAGGAGCCTGAGGCAGAAGCATCACTTGAGTCAATGAGTTTCAAGTTATAGTGAGCTATGATCACACCATGGCACTTCAGCCTGAGCAACAGAGAGAGATCCTCTCTCAAAACCAACCAACCAACCACCTAAGAATTCTATCCTCTTCAAGACCAGCCTGGGTAACATAGTGAAACCCTGTCTCTACTAAAAATATAAAAATTAGCCAGGCATGATGGCAGGTGCCTATAATCCCAGATACTAGGGAGGCTGAGGTGGAAGAATGGCTTGAACTTGGGTGGCGGAGCTTGCAGTGAGCCCAGATTGCACCATTGCGCTCCAGCCTGGGTGACAGAGCGAGACTCCGACAGAACGAATGAACAAACGAATGAACGAACGAAGGAAAAAGAGAGAGAGAGAAAGGAAAGAAAAGAAAAAAGAAAAGAAAAGAAAGACGAAAGAAAGAGAGAGAGAAAGAAAAGCATTCTATCCTCAGTAAGTATCCTTCAATAATGAGATTTAAAGGGTCAAGAGTATACCACTGTGGGAAAAAAAAAAGAGTATTTTTCTGAACTTTCTTTATCCACCTAAATGAAGAAGCTCCCAAAAGAATTTAGCTTTCATCAATCCCTTCCCAGGGAGTTTTGCAACCAAGGAAGATTGACTATTGTCAGTAAAGATGAGAAGTTAGTACCAGGATGAGAAATTATCTAAATAGACATTGATACAAAACTATAATATCACTTAACTATTCTCCTAAGGGCCCACTTACTGTTCACAAAATCATTAGCTTTCCCAAATGTGCCCTTCATTACTTCACTTTTACCCTATTAAAATGGTATGTATATAACCCCAAATTCTAACCCCCTCCTCAAGTCACATTTTTCTCTGAATCTTTTTTTTTTTTTTTTTTTTTTTTCTGAGACGAAGTTTCGCTCTGTCGCCCAGGCTGGGTATAATGGCACAATCTCGGGTCACTGCAACCTCTGCCTCCTGGGTTCAAGCGATTCTCCTGCCTCAACCTCCTGAGTAGCTGGGATTACAAGTATTCACAATCATGCCAGGCTAATTTTTGTATTTTTAGTAGAGACGGGGTTTCACCATGTTAGCCAGGGTGGTCTTGAACTCCTGACCTCAGGTGATCCGCCCGCCTTGGCCTCCCAAAGTGCTGGGATTTCAGGTGTGAGACACAGCAGCCGGCCGAATTCTGACAGACTTATGACTAAAAATAGGTCTTTTTTCTTGCTAAGCTGTGTTTGTCTGTTTAATTCACAGGTCCCCAAACAACAAACCTAAGAGGGTAGAGGAAAACTTTTCCTCATCATCAAAAGCAAAATAAGAACATTCCATGACAAATAAAATAGTGAGAATTTGTCACCAGCCAACCAACATACTTCACAAGGATGAAAAATAATATAAGATTGATACAAGTCAAGGAAAACAATTGGAGCAATGAAAATGACAAACGTGGGTAAATCTAAAAGTATACTGAATGTTTACAATAATTATGTAACTTCTAGAATTAAAAAATACTGCAATCTAAAATATATAACCACAGCATACAAGGCAAGAGAAACCAACTGAATTAGTGTTATAAGTTTCTTGTGTCATACATCAATTGGCAAAAGAATCAGTTTATGTAAGATGTTAATTATAATATTCATACTACAATCTCTGGGTAACCACTAAAGTTATTTAAAATAATATATAACCAACAAGCCAATGGGAAAAAAATTAAGCAACAAATACTTAGCTCAGAAGAAGGAAAAAAAAAAGAAACACAAGATGTGGAGCAAATATAAAGGACATAAATAATAAGATGATAAATTTTAACCTAAACATATCAGAAATACATAGAAAGTAAACATTTAGTAGTAAAATTATTGTCAAATCAATTTTTTAAGGCATATGATGCTTGTAAGTGACACAATTTCAATATAAGGTTAAACAAAGATTGAAAAGTATAATTTCAGAAAACATGAACAATTTTTAAAAGCTAAAAGGTAATAAACTTTTTTTAGTATGAGAAGCAAACAGAAATAAAATAAACCTGTTAAATTAATAAAAGGATAAATGAACTAGAGATACAGAAATTTAGTATTTTGAGATTCTAAATTTGTATGCTCTTAAGAATATGGCCTACTACCAGATATAGAATATATAAAGCTATAGAATATTTTTTAACCTGACCTGACTGACATATCGAGAACATTATACCCAGTAAGTGAATAATAAATATTATTTTCAGGTAAACATGGAACATATTAAAAAAAACAGGCAAAATGCGGGGTCACAAAGCAATTTACAGTGAATTTCAAATGATGGAATCATACTCAGTATGTTCTTTGATACATTTCAATTAAACTAGAAATAACAGGATACAGATCACTCTGCAAGAAGCTCTAAGCTGACCACTGACTTTCCTAACCTCCTGGTATCCACAGCATTATGTAATCTTCCCCTTTAGAGTGTAA